>NC_000013.11:113723020-113880847 GCF_000001405.40 Homo sapiens | reverse complement strand
CCCCGGACCACAGAGCATCCAGGAGATGAATGCACTTCCAGCCCCGCCACCCTGGGGAGATATACAGCTGAGGTGGCAGCTTTGGAGCAAGCAGGGCAGAGATGCTTCCCCCTGAGGTCCCTCCCAGCTCTGCTACCTTGTCACTCAAGGTATGGGTTGGTTGTGTTCCCCAAAAATACATGTTAAAATCTGAGTCTTCAGCACCTCAGAATATGACATCATTTGGAAATAAGGTCATTGCAGATCTAATTACCATAGTGACCCCTTATCCTGGGGAAAATGTTCCAAGGCCCTGGTGGATGTCTGAAACCTCAGATAGTACCTAACCCTATATACACTGTGTTTTTTCCCATGTGTACAGAAATACGATAAAGTTTAATTTATAAATGAGGCACAATAATAGATTAATAACAATGATAAAATAGAACAGTTATAACAATATACTGTAATAAAAGTTATGTGAATGTGGTCTCTCGCTCTCAACATATCTTACTATACTGTATTTTCCCTTCTTCTTGTGATGATGTAAAGTGCTGTAAAATGCCACGTGGTGAGATGAAGGGAGGTGAGAGATGCAGGCATTGTGATGTAGATGGAAAATTCCAGAAATAGAAAATTCCTCAGTGTTCAGTTATATTCTGTTCCGAGCCATCCCATCCAAGCCTGGGTTGCCATTGGCCACTTGGCAGTCATCCTAGTGACCAGATGGGCTGTGGTGTCACAGTGCTTGTGTTCAGGTCACCCTTCTTTTACTTAATAATGCCCCCAAAGCACAAGTGTAGCCATGTAATATTTGTGGAGCGTGGTTGACCGTGAGTGACTAAAACCCAGAAAAGTGAGATGGAAGACAACGAGGACCACTGTAGTTAGGATGAAGTCGTGACTGTGTCCTTATAAGAAGAAGGGTGACACAGGAGCCCATGTGGTGGTGGAGGCAGAGATGGAAGCTGTGAATCCACAAACCCGGGAGCATCTGGAGCTTCGGAGGCTGAGGAGGCAGGGAGGACCCTCCCAGCTGTTGGGGGAGCACAGCCTTGCTGGCACCTTGATTTTGGACTTCAGGCCTCCAGAGCTGAGAGAAGATACATTTCTGTGGTTTTGAGCTCCCCGGTTTGTGGTACTTTTCCAACTGCCCCAGGACACTGCTGCGCCAATGCCCTTGACCTTCAAGGTTGCATTCTGGCTGATGGAGCTGATGGGCACCCCGGCTTCACTGCCCTTGGGCTCCCACTCTGACTGGCCTGTGCTGAAAGGTTAAAAATAGCTCTGCATATATTAAAATAGCTATGTCAATTCTAAAGGCTCACACAGCTGCTCTAAGTGTCTTGGATACTCTTCAAAATAATATTTATAGGCCTCTTCAGGCTCTGTCGAACCAGCTTTTTTAACATTAATTAAAGCCAAGCTCATTAGTTTGTTTACAAGTTGGACTTGGCACACTTTAGCACTTAACAGGAGATGAAAACTGCAGTTTGTTCAATTTTCTTTTAATAATTTTGTTTACATTTTTGCCAGCACTCATAATCCAGGTTCAGTTTCTGCCAGCACTAATTTGGTTTATTCCACATGGCTGGAGCCACTGCGGGACTCCATTTGTTCCGGGGCCACCTTCCTGTCACCTTTTACTGTTTCTTGAGTCAGCAAGAAAGGCAGATCCGACTGAAGACTCCAGCACTCTCCTCAGCTGCAGCCCCCACAGAGCTCCGCGAAGTCCTTTCTCCCACAGGACAGATCTGAGGCACCCACCATTAGAAGAAAGGAGTGGAGAAATGATATGCAGGAAGAAGGCCCATTCTGATTCACCAATCGCATGGACGCACTTTCCTACCAGGCTAGGAGGGAGGAAAGTAGAGCCCCACCCTGACTGCTAAGCCGTTTGCTTTGGTGTCATGAAAAAAGAGTTCAGCTTCCCAAATCAGAGAGGAAAAGGTTTTCAAGGGGTCCCCTATTTCTATTATGTAAGCTTTAAATGACAAAGTGGACCTCTGGGGCCAACGTGGGTGTGTGATGGTGGTTTTGTGGGATTCTCCCCATAGCCCCATCAGACGGCCTCACCTTCTGGGTCTCAGTGGCCCCAGGTGCAACACGGCTCCTCCAGAAATGATGACAGCCCTGGCGACCAAGGACTCCCTGTGCCACTGGGTTTGCGCTCAGAAGTATATTCAATGATTTCCCCAGAAAATTCCAAGTCATCTCCTAATACTGTTTGTGAAAACTAAATGAACTGTCGTGGTCTTCTTCAGGGACAGTTTGCTAGGAAGGGTGGTTATTGGCATAATTTTCCAAATCAATGAACTAAGTTACAAAACTTTCTCAAAGACCCTGATGGCTGTTACAAAGACAGAAAAGTGAATGGTCAGAAAGAAGTGTGATAATTCACCCAGTATTGGGAGGACGAGGTGGGCGGATCACGAGGTCAGGACATCGAGACCATCCTGGCTAACACAGTGAAACCCCGTCTCTACTAAAAAAATACAAAAAATTAGCCGGGCGTGGTGGTGGGCGCCTGTAGTCCCAGCTTCTCGGGAGGCTGAGGCAGGAGAATGGCGTGAAACCTGGGAGGTGGAGCTTGCAGTGAGCCAAGATCACGCCACTGCACTCCAGCCTGGGCGACGGAGCAAGACTCCGTCTCATAAAAACAGCCTAAGACAACCACACAGCACACAGGCCTTCATCCTTGGCTGTGACGGATGCGTGTCCGTGTGGAGGGCCAGGCCTGTTTCTCCCGTCACTAATGGAAGCCTCTCTGAGTTTCCATGAAAGTCTCCCCCTCAGAAGGGGCTCTCTGGAAATTTTCAATTATGTTGGTTAGGATAGTAATACATGCTTTTGCTTAAAAATCAATGGGTGCAGAAACAAAAGTATAAAGTACAAAGTGGGTTTCCCCTCCTCAGCCAGAGGCAATGATGTTAGCAGGTCAACCCCGATACCGCCGCTCATTGCTTGAGGAGCCTGTGTCTTTCCTTATGTACGGGGGTCATGCCACGGCCACCCCTCCACACGAGAGCGGGGGCATTGACTAAGGCCAGAGCCAGGCACTGGAAAGGCGCAGTGGCCCCTCTACCTCACAATGGTATTGCTAGGACCCACGTGCATTTGGGGCCCCACATCAAAGCTCCCCAAGCAACCCCCTTGAAATGACTTTGCTTATAGCTCACCTCCAGGAAGGGCCCTTCCCTAGAGAACAGAAGGACACAATATCCCTCAGGCTCTGGGAAAGCAGCCGTTATCCTGGAAACCAGGACTCCTAGGAGATTCTGTGCCTCCCCCATGTGGGCCGTCTTGATCCCCACACAGACTCCAGGTTCAGGTGCTCCTCGAGGCTGGGCATCCCTCCACCAGGTGGTCCTGGTACGGCCCCTCTGTCCTCCGCTCTGGGTCTTGTCTGATGAGCTCATGCCCGTTCACCACAGGCTCCTGGGAGGAGGACGGTGAGGCGGGCAGCCCTCCTGAGCCCCTTCCTCCTTGCAGAGCACTTTCCGGGGCCTGATGCAGTGGAAGGAGCTGAGCAGTTCCCCATCCAGCCCAAAACAGGACACCTCAGGGCTCGAAACCCTCAGAGTCCCCACCCACACGCTACCCACACAAGGCCGATGCCTGAGTGTGAAACACAGAACACCTCCTCCATCTCCACCTGACTTCACTGACTTCCCTGAGCATTAAAAAATAAAAACTAAAAATAAATGAAACCCTGAAGGGTTTCAAAGCAGGAGAGAGGCCATGTCCAGACTGAAGGAGGCACATTCTTGATGAGTCCCTGGTCCAGCAAAACTCCCACCTCAGATCAGCCCAATGCTTTTGTGTCGAATGCCACACATGTCATGGTGTCTGTTTGTTTGACTGGTTTTGCCCAGTCTGGAAGGCTTGGAGTCACAAAGTTAAGGTCATGAGGCATGACTGTGACAATTAAGGCTGTCCCCATGACAGGATGTGAATCTGGACTTCAGGGTACGGGTCCGTCCCTCTGAGAGTGAAGGGAAACGTCCTGCCCACACCACAATGGCACCTACATGACACCTAGTGACACCCACACGGCAGTGACACTGACACTGCAGCGACACCGATGTGGCAACGACACCCACATCTCAGTGATACCCACGCTGCAGTGACACCCACACAGCAGCAACACCCACATGGTAGTGACACCCATGCAGCAGTGACACCCACACCACAGTGACACCCACACCACAGGGACACCCACACCACAGTGACACCCACACCTCAGTGACACCCACGCAGCAGCGACACCCACACCACGGTGACACCCACACCACAGGGACACCCACGCCTCAGTGACACCCACGCCTCAGTGACACCCACGCAGCAGCGACACCCACACCACAGGGACACCCACACCACAGGGACACCCACACCACAGGGACACCCACATGGTAGTGACACCCATGCAGCAGTGACACCCACACCACAGTGACACCCACATCACAGGGACACCCACACCACAGCGACACCCACACCTCAGCGACACCCACACCTCAGTGACACCCCCACCACAGGGACACCCACACCTCAGCGACACCCACACCTCAGCGACACCCACACCACAGCGACACCCACACCTCAGCGACACCCACACCTCAGCGACACCCACACAGCAGCGACACCCACACCTCAGCGACACCCACACCACGGCGACACCCACACCTCAGTGACACCCACGCCTCAGTGACACCCATGCAGCAGCGACACCCACACCACAGGGACACCCACACCACAAGGACACCCACACCACAGGGACATCCATGCTGCAGCAACACCCACACCTCAGTGATACCCACACCACAGTGACACCCACACCCCTTTTCTTCTGCAGCCCTGAAGTCACTCCCAGGCCCCAGGCTGAGGACTGGCCTCAGGGCGTCATCAGAAGCTGCAGAGGCATGACAGTACTGTTTCCTCAGCAGCTTCATGGAAAGATCCAGCCAAGCCATCTGGGGCTGAGCTTTGCTGCGTCTTCCTGCTCCTGGCCAGTGTACGGGCTTCCTGTCCTTGAAAGCAACACCTCACTTCCGACGTCCCAAGAGCTGAACTTCTAGGTGTCAGGAACCAAGTGCCTCAAGGCTCTGGGCACTCTAGATTTCAGGTGGAGCTGGCTGGTTTCCCACCCCAAGGAGAGGGCACACGGTTGCTTGGGTGTTGCTGTGGCCCTGGCTCCCGGTGTCCTGCTGGAGGAGCCTTGCTCGGGTGCCCCTGATGCAGCCCTGGCAGCGGCAGCAGGGCCAGCCACATGGCCACCTCCCATCTCTGTGAAAGGGAGGCCTCACTGGACCAGAATTTTGCCAGACCTTCCAGTTGCTTCCGACCAACCAGCAGGTCCTGCAGCGTGATGCACATTTGCTGTTCTGGGTGACAACCCCCAATCCCATGACCGGGTCAGACAGGAGGGACCGTGCTTCTCTGGAGAGCGAGCTCAGACCATGTTACAGACACAGAGAAGTAGAAAATGTGATGAAGCGGCTAATTATGTTGCTCAAATAGACGTGGAAATCCCGCATCGTGGTGCCCCTCGGGGCAGGCGGCTCTGTTACCCTCGCTCAGCTACCCACAGGTGATGCTAGCTGGGCCCAGTGTGGCCTTTGCCTCCCCCTGAGCTTGGCAACCCCGGGCTGCCTCCTGGGACGGGGCTGTCTCTCCCTTGGGGATCAGGCAGCTGTTGCTGGTCTCAGACGACACCTGCTTGGGCCCAGCCCCACTGTGAGGGTGGCAAGTGGAGCTGGAATTCCCACCCAGGCGGCTGACGCCACAGTCCAGAGCCCATGCCTCATCTCCGTGGCCTGCGCTGCTCCATTCTTGTCTAAAATGGGGAGTGAGATAAATGCCCCACTTACCTCCCCTTCCCAGGAAACTCTCTCTGCTAGGCTTCCTGGGTAAAGCGGGGCCTCAGGTTCCCACACGGCCCGGTGTGGGTGCTGCCCCAGGAAAGAACTCCTTTACCGAAAACTACCAGACAGACCCTCACCCCGACCCCCTCCCGCCCATCACCATCAACACACACACTCTCGACCTCCTTGCTCTCGACAGGCAAGGCCGTGAGCGGTGAGGAGCTGTGTGATGGGAAACAGGGAACCTCCAGGCCAATGCACTCCATCCACCTGGAGGGCTTATCATACACCTGGAGGGCCCCTCACACCTGCAGGGCCCGTCACACACCTGGAGGGCCCACCACTCACCTGGAGGGCCCCTCACACACCTGCAAGGCCCATCACACACCTGGAGGGCCCCTCACACACCTGGAGGGCCCCTCACACCTGCAGGGCCCGTCACACACCTGGAGGGCCCACCACTCACCTGGAGGGCCTGTCACATACCTGGAGGGCCCGTCACACACCTGCAGGGCCCATCACACACCTGCAGGGCCCGTCACACAACTGGAGGGCCCCTCACACACCTGCAAGGCCCATCACACACCCGGAGGATCCGTCAGATGCCTGGAGGTGAGCCAATGACTGCCCGCTCATGGCCTGGAGAGAGCTCTGACATCACTCAGAGGAGAAGCCAGGCAGAGCCCGATGACCCCTCGAGTGGGGGCAGAGCCAGGTGACCAGGAGGCTGAGGCAGCAGGGCACGGGGAGGGGCATGAGAGAAGAGAGAGGCTCACGGAAAAAGGACTTTGGAGATTTGCAGAAGATCCTCTCTAGTTTCCAGCTAAATCACCACACCCTTGAGAAGAAACGACCCAAGGCCAGAGAAAGAACCATCTGGGCCGGGTGCAGTGGCTCATGCCTGTAATCCTAGCACTTTGGGAGGCCGAGGCGGGTGGATTGCCTGAGCTCAGGAGTTCGAGACCAGCCTGGGCAACACAGTGAAACCCCGTCTCTACTAAAATACAAAAAGTTAGCCAGGCATGGCGGCATGTGCCTGTAATCCCAGCTACTCAGGAGGCCGAGGCAGAAGAATTCCTAGAACCCGGGAGGCAGAGGTTGCAGTGAGTCGAGATCGGGCCACTGCACTCCAGCCTGGGTGACAGAGCAAGAGTCTCTAAAAAAAAAAAGAACCACCTGAAAGGAGTAGAGGGACCAATCCCGCAGCTCTCACAGGTCCGGAATAGTTCCCGTTTCCATCCCTCAGCGTGGAAAATCTCATTATCCACAGGACATTAGGGTGAGCGCTCACAAAGGCTTTGCCTGGAGTGGCAGCTTTTGCCCTGACTCCCTGCGGCTCTGGTTTTGCCCTAACAATGCCTAAAAGCAAGACTTTAGAGATAAAAAATAAATTGTCTGAGATGAAGGATATACTGGATAGAATTAACAGCAGATATGACATTGCAAAAGAATAGGGAACTTGAAGGCATAGTAATAGAAGCTAACTGAAATCAAACCCACGCAGAGGGGGAAAGACTAAACAATGAAAACAGAATAGCCTTAGTGAGCTCTGGGAAAACTCCAAGCAGCCATCTGTATGTATACCTGGAGTTCCCTAAATAAGGAGAGCATCTTGGGGACAGAAAACAATATTTGAGGAAATAATACCCCAAAATTTTCCAAATATAAAAATTAGAAACCCACAAATCCAAGAATCTCAATGAACCCCAAGCACAAGAAACCTGAGAGAAACTACAGGGTACAATGTGATAAAGTTTCTTGAAATTAGTGATAAAGAGAAAATCTTAAAAGCAGCCAGAGGAAAAAGACATTATGTACAGATGAACAAAGAAAAGAATGATTGCCGATTTCCTGTTGGAGACAATATATGCTAAAATACGGGAGGGCAATGTCTTTGAAATTAAAAGGCACAGGGGAAACTGTCCATCTAGAATTCTATTTGCAGTAAAAAAGATCCTTCAAAAAAATGACTTTTAAAGACATACAAAAACTGAAAGAATGTGTCACCAACATACATACGCTCAAGAACATTTTAAAGGTTTTTACTGAGGCAGACAAAAAAAAAAAAAAAAGATACCAGATTGAGTCTGCATCTACTCAAAGAAATAGCAGTGCTGGAAATGATAAAGATATGAGTAAATATTTTTTTCTCATCATTTAAATATTTTAAAAGCATTGTTTAAAGCAAACAATAGTACTCTGTATTGCAAGGTTTATGACACATATAGAAGTAAAATGCAAGAAAACAACAACATAAAGAGAGGAGAGAAATAGAAGCAGACTGCTGCAAGTGAACAGGTGACTCTAATAAGTTAAAGCTGTATAATAAAAATCACACAGCAACACCAAAATAACACAACAAACAATTGCAGTTAATAAGCCAACAAGGGAGAAAATTCTATCATAAAAAATTTGGTTAATCCAAAAGAAGGCAAAAAATAAAATAAAATAAAGGAAAGGAAACAACAAATGGGAGTAATAGAAAACAAATAACAAGGTAGTAGGTTTAGACCAAATCATTTTAATAAGTATATTGAATGAA
This sequence comes from Homo sapiens, assembly GCF_000001405.40. Taxonomy (NCBI): domain Eukaryota; kingdom Metazoa; phylum Chordata; class Mammalia; order Primates; family Hominidae; genus Homo; species Homo sapiens. Next base: position 113,872,465 of record NC_000013.11, on the reverse strand, counting down.
AATGATCTAATAACCCAATTAAAAGGTAAATATCAGATTGGATTTAAAAAAGGAAGACTCAGTTACATGCTACCTACAGGAAACCTACCTTAAACATTAAGACAAAAATAGAATAAAGGAAAAAGAATTTTAAAAATTATATATATATATATATATAATGCAAACACTAATCAAAAGAAAGCTGGCATGGTTATTTTAACAATCAGACAAATAGATTTCAGAGCAAAGAATATTATATCTCATTATGATAAAGGGATCAATTACTCAGGAGTACGTAATTTAAATATTTATGCACCAAGTAAAAAAGTTTCAAAATACATGAAGCAAAACTTGAATTGTAAGGAGAAATAGACAAATCCAAATTCTAGTTGGAGAGTTCAGCACTCCATTCTTAATAACTGATAGAATAAGAAGGCAGAAAATGAGCAAGGATATGGTAGACTTGAACAAGACTATCATCCAACTTGACCTGGTTGACATTTATAGAGCATTCCATCCAATAGGAGCTGAATAAACATTCTTTTTTAGAACACACAGGACGTTTACCAAGATGTACCATCTTCTGGCCACAAAACAAGTTTCAATAAATTAAAAAGAATTCAAGTCATATACAGTATGTTCTCTTTCTACAATAAAGCCAAATTATACATTGATAACCACAAAGATATCTAGAAACTTCCCAAATTGTTGGAAACTAAATAACACAGTTCTAAATAATCCATGGGTCAATGAAGATATCAAAAGGAAAATTATAAAGTATTCTGAACTGAATGGAAATGACTCACTTAAGTGTGGGATTTAAAATGTGTAGGATACAGCTAAAGCACGGCTTTAAGGAAAATTTCTAGCATAAACATCTACATTAGAAAAGAAGGAAGATCTCGAATAAATGACCTCAGCTTTCTACTTAAGAAACTGAATAAAGAAGAGCAAATGAAACACACTTTATTTCATTTTTATTTCATTTTTCTTCTGTGGGCAGAAGAAAGAACATTATAAAAATTGTATAATGAGAAAATAAAAAATGACAAATAATACAGAAAATAGAGAAAAATCGATAAACCCAAAAGCTAGTTATTTGAGATCAATAAACTTGTTGAATCTCCAGCCAGAATGACCATGACAAAAAATTAAATAAAAAGACAAATTGTCACTATCAAGAGAGGTGTCATTAATACAGATCTACAGAGATTCAAAGAGTATTGAGGGGCTAGCCGAGGTGGCTCATGCCTATAATCCCAGCACTTTGGGAGGCCAAGACGGGTGAATCACTTGAGGTCAGGAGTTCGAGACCAGCCTGGCTAACATGGTGAAACCTCGTCTCTACTAAAAATACAAAAATTAGCCAGCTATAGTGGCACACACCTGTAGTCCCAGCTACTCAGGAGGCTGAGGCGGGAGAATTGCTTGAAGCTGGGAGGCAGAGATTGCAGTGAGCCAAGATCACTCCACTGCACTCCAGCCTGGGTGACAGAGCGAGACTCTGTCTCAAACAACAACAACAAAGAGTGTTGAGAAACTATTATGAGCAGCTTTATGTTAGCACAGTAAACAACTTGGATACAATGGGAAAACTTCCCCAAAAAAACAAACTACCAAAGCCAATAAAAAAGAAATAGACTATCTATTAAAGTATATATAGAAACAGAGTCTTACTCTGTCGCCCAGGCTGGAGTGCAGTGGCACAATCTCAGCTCACTGCAACCTCCACCTCCAGGGTTCAAGCAATTATCCTGCCTCAGCCTCCCAAGTAGCTGGGATTACAGGTGCCCGCCACCATGCCTGGCTAATTTTTTTGTATTTTTAGTAGAGACAGGGTTTCACCATGTTGGCCAGGCTGGTTTCAAACTCCTGACCTCAAGTGATCCACCCAACTCGGCCTCCCAAAGTGCTAGGATTACAGGCGTGAGCCACCGTACCCAGCCTTAAAGAATATATATTAAAGAAATTACATTTATAGGTAAAAACCTCCCCACAAAGAAAACTATAGGTCCTGATGGCATCATTGTGATTTTTGCCAATCATCTAAGGAAGAAATAAGACCAATTCTACACAAACACTTCCATAAAATTAAAGCGGAAGAAACACTTAACAATTCTATGAGGCCAACATTTCTTAGATATCAAACCAGACAAAGAAAGAAAACAACAGATCAGTACCCTCATAAACATCAATGTAAATATTCTTAACATGTTTTTGCAAATTGAATTCATCAATAATTTAAAACTATGATATATCATGACCAAGTGGGGTTAGGATTATTTCAGGGACACAAGATTGATTTAACATTCAAAAATCAATCAAGATAATTCACATATTAATGAATAAAAAAACCCATATGATCATCTCAATAGAATAGATGCAGAAGAAAACTTTGATAATATTTAATACACATTCCTAATTTTTAAAACATAATTTGCAGGAAGCTAGAAATAGAAGAGAACTTCCTCAACCTGATAAAGAGAATCTATGAAAAGCCTACAGCTAACATTATATTTAATGGTGAAAGACTGGATTATTTTCACATAGGATCAGGAACAACACAAGGGTACACACTGTCTCCATTTCTAGTCAACATTGCATGGGAGGTTATTAGGCAGTGCAATCAGACAGAAAAGAATTAAATAGCACCCAGATTTGAAAGGAGGAAGTAAAAGTGTCTATATTTACAAACAGCATGATTATCTATGTAAGAAAAATTCTACTGAAGCTACAAAAAAATCAGAATAATTGAATTAAGCAAAGTTGTGTGATACAAGATAAATACACAAAAATCAAATGTTTAAACAATTAGAGATTGAAATGAAAAACAATGCCAAAGGCCAGATGTAGTGGCTCACACTTGTCATCCCAGCAGTTTGGGAAGCTAAGGGGGGTGGGTTGCTTGAGGCCAGGAATTCAAGACCAGCCTGAACAACACGGCAAAAGCCCATCTCTACAAAAAATACAAAAAATTAGCCAGGCATGGTGGCGCATGCCTGTAGTCCCAGCTACGTGGCAGGATCACTTGAGTCTGGGGGGCAGAGGTTGCAGTGGGCTGAGATTGCGTCACTGCACTGCAGCCTCAGTGACAGAGTGAGATCTTGTCTCAATAAATAAATAAATAAATAATGCCATTTACAATAGGACAAAGAAAGTGAAATATTTAGAAACAAATCTAATAACATATATATCAGGCCTGTACATTGAATACTATGAAAGACTGTGGAGATAATTTAAGAAGACTTAAATAAATGAAAGATATACCGCGTTCACATATCAGAAGCCTCAATACTGTCAAACTGTTCATTGCCTAAAAATTGACCTATAGATTTAATGCAATCTCAATTAAAATCTTGGCAGGCTTTTTGTAAAGAATGACCAGCTGATTCTAATATTCATATGTAGATGCAAAGAAAACAGAATAACCAAACAACTGCACACTTTGAGAAAGAAGAACGTTTGAGTATTTACACTACCTGAGTATTTACATTACCTGACTTCAATTCTTGTTATGAATCTACTATAGTCAAGACAGTGTGGTATTAACTTTAAAAAGAGACAAACAAATAAATGGGACAGAACAGAGTCTACAAATAGATTTGCACATATATTATCAATTGGTTATTGACAAAGGTGCAAAGGCAAGTCAGTGGAGAAAGAATAGTCTTTTTAACAGTGCTGGGATGATTGCATTTCCCTAGGCACATACGTACAGATACACACTTTGTTTCATACTTCAGCATTTATAAAAACTCATTCAAAATGGATCACCATCTTAAATGTAAAACTGAAATCTACAGAACTTCTGTAATAAAATCTTTGTGACCTTGAGTTAGGCAAATGTGACACCAAAAGCAGAATCCATTAAAGAAAATAAGCTGCACTTCAAAATTAAGAATTCTGATCTTTGAAAGACACTTTAATTTCTTTTTATCTTGGAGACAGAGTCTTGCTCTATTGTGCAGACCAGGCTTAAACTCCTGGGCTCAAGAAATCCTCCTGCCTCAGCCTCTCAAGTAGCTGAAGCTACAGGCACCCACTACCATGCCTGGCTAAAGACACATTTAATAGAATGAAAAGACAAGCCGCAGACTGGAAATAAATATTTGCAAACCACACATCTGATAATGGACTTGCTTCTAGAATAGTTATAGAACTCTTAAAACTCAACAAACAGCTCAACAATTGGAAAACCAAACATCCCAAGTGTATTAGTCAATTTTCACGCTGCCGATAAAGACATACCTGAGACTGGGCAGTTTACAAAGGAAAGAGGTTTAACTGGACTCACAGTTCCACGTGGCTGGGGAAGCCTCACAATCATGGCAGAAGGTAAGGAGGAGCAAGTCACGTCTTACACAGATGGCAGAAAGCAAAGACAGAGAGCTTGTGCAGGGGAATTCCTCTTTTTAAAACCATCAGATCTTGTAAGACTTATTCACTATCATGACAACAGCATGGGAAAGACTTGCCCCCATGATTCAATTACCTCTCACCAGGTCCTTCCCATAACATGTGGGAAGTCAAGATGAGATTTCGGTGGGGACACAGCCAAACCATATCACCAAGTAAAGGAAAAGAAAGAAAGTAAAACTGAAACAGACATTTCACCAAAGAAGATATCTGGATGGCAATAAGTACAATAAAATTTGTTCAACATCACTAGTTATTTGAAAAATGCAAATTTAAACTACAATGAAATACCATTATATACATATTAGAGTGAGTAAAATTTTTTTTTTCAGTGGAGTGTAGGGTTTCTTTTTTTATTTTTATTTTTTTATTGATCATTCTTGGGTGTTTCTCGCAGAGGGGGATTTGGCAGGGTCACAGGACAATAGTGGAGGGAAGGTCAGCAGATAAACAAGTGAACAAAGGTCTCTGGTTTTCCTAGGCAGAGGACCCTGCGGCCTTCCGCAGTGTTTGTGTCCCTGGATACTTGAGATTAGGGAGTGGTGATGACTCTTAACAAGCATGCTGCCTTCAAGCATCTGTTTAACAAAGCACATCTTGCACCGCCCTTAATCCATTTAACCCTGAGTGGACACAGCACATGTTTCAGAGAGCACAGGGTTGGGGGTAAGGTCACAGATCAACAGGATCCCAAGGCAGAAGAATTTTTCTTAGTACAGAACAAAATGAAAAGTCTCCCATGTCTACCTCTTTCTACACAGACACGGCAACCATCCGATTTCTCAATCTTTTCCCCACCTTTCCCCCCTTTCTATTCCCCAAAACCGCCATTGTCATCATGGCCCGTTCTCAATGAGCTGTTGGGTACACCTCCCAGACGGGGTGGTGGTCGGGCAGAGGGCCTCCTCACTTCCCAGTAGGGGCGGCCGGGCAGAGGTGCCCCTCACCTCCCGGACGGGGCGGCTGGCCGGGCGGGGGGCTGACCCCCCCACCTCCCTCCCGGACGGGGCGGCTAAAAATTTTTAAAGTGACCACAGAAAGTATGGGTGGGGATGTGGAGCAACTGGGACCCTCATGCATTGATGGTGAAAATGAAAAACAGTATAACCACTTTGAAAAACAGTTTAAAAAGTTAAACAAATACCTACTATGGGATCCAGACACTCTGCTCCTAGATATTTCCCCAAGAGAAATGGAAGCACGTGTGCACACAATGTCCACACGATGGACACACACATGAATGCCTACAGCAGCTTTATTTGTGATAGTAAAAATTTAGAAGCAAGTATAATGTCCCTCAACAGGTGAATGATAAACAAATTGTGTTATATCCATACAGTGGAATACTACTGAGCAATAAAAAGGAATACACCTGCAACAAGATAGATGATTCTGAAAATAAATATGTTAAGTGAAAAAAACAGACAAAAAAGTGTACATACAGTATAATTCTTTTTATATAAAAGTCTAGAAAATACAAACAAATCTATAGTGATAGAAAGTTGGTCAGCGGTTTTTGCATAGAAACTGGGATGTGGGGTAGGGTGGGGACATTTAGGAGGGAGGAATTACCAAAGGGCATGAGAACACTTTTTTGGGTGATGGATATGTTCCCTAACTTGATTGTGATGATGGCTTCACAGGTGTACACAGCTTTCCACCTCATGGCCACAGACCGGTTAACCATCCATATAAAACATCCATTGCCCTGGGTCCAACCTCCTGCCCCCTGTGGAGGTGAACTGTCTACTTCACCATTGATATTTCAGGTTGTATGATATAGTGCCTGACAACTCTCCATTTTTGGAACACATCCAAATTGTTTCTTATTCATTTTCCATTTCTGCCTTCGAACGAATTTCCTGCACTGGTAACTAGGTGAAGAATTTTGGAGTTATCTGGGGTAATGGAGACATCCTCCATTGCACCGCATATTTGCTTTCTGTATTCCCCAGTTATAGAAATCAAAACGAGCAGTTGTATGTGAATGCATTGTATCAAACCAAGTCTCTAGATGATAGGAGGCATTGTCATTACTAGGATAGTAACTCAGTAGAAAGAGTGAATTGAGAATATGAGGAATGAGAGTGGGGTCCAGACTAAAAGGAGGCCAGGGGTCCTGAACTGCCCCATCCAACTGAGTTCATTCTGATACCTACTGATCTGAAGCAGCAGGTCCACGCCCAGGTGCAGATTGTCCCAGATGAACAGGCAGAGGCTAGAGATGCTCATTCCTAAAGGGATCAAATAATTCTGAGAATGGCAAGAACTCCATTAACTCTCTTCTCCAAAACTACAAAAATGTGCAGAAAATACGAACAATTTTTAGGAGCTTACACTCTTTGAAGTTTATCCATGGGCTGCTGGAACCCTTAGGAAATAATAGCTAGAAGTGCCTCAGACACTGCCTGGCACACAGCAGGTGCTCAATGAATTACACTGCCTGGCACATAGTAGGTGCTCAATGAATTGTCTGATGAAGTGATTAAGGAGCCTTGTAAATACTGATTAAAACATGTATCACCCCATCCAATTTTTCAAACCAGTGCTTCTCAAGAACAAGCAGGAAAATTAATGTAATATTGTTTTGAAGTAGCCGTGGTGGTTTCGGGGCAGAAGCCCAGGGGTACTCCTTACTCCGCCTGCTCCAGTAACTAGCTGACATGGAAGTGCCTCGTCATTCTGGTTCAGACACAGGTGCAGATAGATGACTTCTCTATCCCACTTTAATTCTCCTTGAAGATCATTCCCAGGGACATTCATTTGCTTAAATTAACATGCTCGGCCAGGCGCGGTGGCTCACACCTGTAATCCCAGCACTTTGGGAGGCCCAGGCGGGCGGATCACGAGGTCAGGAGATTGAGATCATCCTGGCTAACACGGTGAAACCCCGTCTCTACTAAAAATAAAAAAAATCAGCCGGGCGTGGTGGCGGGCGCCTGTGGTCCCAGCTACTCGGGAGGCTGAGGCAGGAGAATGGCGTGAACCCGGGAGGCGGAGCTTGCAGTGAGCAGAGATCACGCCACTGCACCCCAGCCTGGGCAACATAGCGAGACTCCGTCTGAAAACAAACAAACAACAACAACAAAAATTCATGCTCATAATCCCACTTTCAAACCAGTGACCTCAAAGATTTCTAGCAGCAATCCTATTCCATTCTTCCAATTACAGAAAGCAAAGAGAAACTGGATCTGGGGATCTAAGCGTTGAGCCTGCTGAGCAGAACGGCCATTCATTTGGGGTGAGGTGCTGACTCACTGCCCCTCTACATTGCATTTTGGGGTGTGGGGATTTCCAGAGCAGGATTCTCCAGAGAGGAGTATCCAAGCTCCCTCCTCCCGCAGCAGGGGGATGCTGGGCTAACTGCCTGGTTCGGTCCCCCGTGAGTGGTCTGCTGTGTTTTGGTTCTGTTTGTTTGTGTGTGTTTTGCCTATGACTTTGCGAAATATTCCAAGACAAGAGCCAGAAAGTCTTGGTCTCTGAAGACAAGCACAATGTTGCTTTCAGCTTAAATATCTACTGGGAAACCTCAAGATTTTTAATGTCATCATTATGAAAAACAGAGATTATAAAAGGAAACCGTCGCATTTCACTCGCTGGCCCCCAGTGGGATTGGATCTGACCTCAGTGTATCTTTTCTTTGGTAGGTTTTAAGTCTTGACAAAATGTGCCTAAGAATGAAGACTCCAAAAAGGATGCAGTAGATTCGGGGGGAGTGGGGGTTGGAAAGAGGCTTAAATCTTCACATGACACCTGGAATATGGTCAAAATGTACCTGCTCAAGTTGAACCAGGTATTGCGTCCTCCTTTTACCCCATCGCTAGTGAAGACAACCACCGCCTGGGGAGACGCTCCTTTTCCGAAACACTCGAGTCCCGCCGCGTCCCGGACGCTCCGCTTTCCCCGCGCCCGGATCCTCCCGGGAACCCGCGCCCCGCCCGCGCGCTGGTCCCGCCCCCGCCGCCTCCCCGCGCGCAGCCGCCCGAACACGCCCAGACCGAGCGCTTGAGGTGCCGCAGCCGCCGCCGCCGCCGCCGCCGCGATGTGACCTTCAGGGCCGCCAGGACGGGATGACCGGAGCCTCCGCCCCGCGGCGCCCGCGGCTCGCCTCGGCCTCCCGGGCGCTCTGACCGCGCGTCCCCGGCCCGCCATGGCCCCTTCGCTCTCGCCCGGGCCCGCCGCCCTGCGCCGCGCGCCGCAGCTGCTGCTGCTGCTGCTGGCCGCGGAGTGCGCGCTTGGTGAGTCCCGCGGGCCCGAGACCCCGTCCCCGGGCGGCGGGAGGAGGCTCCGGGCGCGGCTTGACGCGTCCCCCTCTCTCCCTCCGGGCAGCCGCGCTGTTGCCGGCGCGCGAGGCCACGCAGTTCCTGCGGCCCAGGCAGCGCCGCGCCTTTCAGGTCTTCGAGGAGGCCAAGCAGGGCCACCTGGAGAGGGAGTGCGTGGAGGAGCTGTGCAGCCGCGAGGAGGCGCGGGAGGTGTTCGAGAACGACCCCGAGACGGTGAGCAGCCGGCGGGCGGGATGCGGGGGAACCCCTGGCGCCCGCGCGCCTCCAACCGCTCCCGAGAGGCAGCGCTGCTGCCGCCCCCCAGCTCCGCGCGGCGAGGCCTGGCCTCAGGGTCCCAGGAGCCCCGGCCCGCCCCGCGTCCCCCACGCCCATCCCCCGGCGACCCCGGGATCCCCGCGCAGGCCGGTGAGACGCTGCGGGGCTGTCCGGGAAACGCTCGCTGTCAGACGCCTCCCCGCGGGGAAGCCGGGAGTCCGTTTCCAAAGTGCGAGAGAAACACAATGGTTAAAACCCAAACCGCTTCCCCGCGGCCCTCCCTCTGCTGGGCTGGAGGTGAGGAACCCCCGGGCCGCGCCTCGTCCTCCTGAGAGGGGTGGAGAGCAGTCCCCTCCCGAAAGAGGAATTGAAAGGGCCGAGGGCGGGAACTGCTTGCGGCAGCAGGTCCAAAAATAAGATTCCAGGAATCGAGCGGGGCCGCATGCGGGAGGGGAGGGCGGCTCCGCGGCCCCGTTCTGCCAGGTGCTCTCCTGGAGGCAGCGGGTGCTTTCAGGAGCCCGACGGTGCTGGCCCCGGCACCTCGGTTAGGAATGTCCTTGGAGAAGGCGGGGCGCCCGGGGCCGCCTCCCGCAGGAGCCGCCGTGTGAGGACGGCCTGGCCACTCTATCCTGCGGGCTCGGGAGCGGGTGACTTTGGAAAGTCCGAGAAGGTGTGGATTCCCGTTGACGTCCCTCCCGCCCTGAAGTCAGGGTGATTTCATAGCGAAGTTTTCCGTTCTGCTGGAATGTTCCTTTTAAAGAATTCTCCTGGGGTGGAATAAATGTCACCCGGGATGAAAGAGTGGTTCTGGATGAACCATGGAGGCCTGTTTCCGCTTACATTTCTAGTGGTTGACTTGACCCCTCTTAGATCTGCCTTTCTGAAAGCTCTGAGGCTGTCAGATGGCCACTGTGCACTTGTGGACATAGCTCATCCCTGCAGAGATGACGCACCTGGGGCTGTTGCCCGGGGGCTGCCCACAGCCCCACAGGCCCGTGCCCTCCTTCAGCTCAGCCTAGCTTGGTCGCTCTCCCCGGCCTCTCTGTTTTCCTGTTTCTTTAATGATGAATCCTGGCCTGTGCTGCTGGCTGAGGCAGGTGGGCCTGTGTGCCCTGGTCGCTCGGAGTCGCCGCCCAGCTGTGGGGTTGGTCGTGTGGCTGGTGCAGTGTCCTCCAACAGCGTCCTCACCCGGAACATTCTGCGTGCACAGGGACTGTGGCATGGGGCGTGCTGGTGATGGGAGTTGAGGGCAGCAGGGTCACCCCCACCCCACAGTACCCGCTCCGCGCAGCCCTGCAAGGCCTGGCCGCAGCCCCTCCTCGCTGTCCTCCAGGACCTGCAGGGCCCATGTCAATCAGACTGGACGCTGCCTGGATGTACTGTGCTGTTCTTCCCAAGTCAGTCCCCTACCTGGTTTTCCAATTTTAATTTAATAACTTTATTTACAAAGGTGTGAAATGAAGATAAGAAAATGAAAACAGCACTCAGGACCCCATCACTTTAATACAACTGCGGTTGCGTCACATGGTTTCTGTGCTGGCATGTTCATCTCCTCACCCTCCTGCATGTGGCTGAGTGGCTTTGGTGCCCGGGAGGCATCCCTCCCATCCTCTCACAGCCTGGCCCCAGCAGCCTCTGTCGGCTTCTTTTCAGCGTCATCTCAGTTCCCAGCGTTCTGCCCTCCTTCCCAGCCCCCATGCCAAATGATAACAACCCGCTTTCCCTCTGGTTTTTGGATCTGGCCATTAGCTTGCTGTCTGTTTCTGTTTCTGTTTCCGGTTCCTGCCGGCAGGTGGATGCTGGGGACAGCCTGGTTGGGGCAGGGGCAGGGGCAGGGTCCAGAGGCTGGCTTGAGTCCCAGCCGGCTCCAGCACACCAGGCCCACCCCTCCCAGGACCCTAGTCTCCACTGCATCCTCTGCCACACTCTTGGGAGACCCCAGGCCCGAGGGGACTGTCCAAGCACAACTTCCTGCTAATGCATGAAAATCATCCATGAACTTCTCCCTGTCAAAGGCCAGGGGCTCCTTGTCTTTGAAATGTTGCTCACTTTACATTTTGTGCAGTGCGGCTGATTGAGGAAAAGGGCTGTGGCCTGAGCTCAAGAGGTGACCAGGACCTGGCCATGGTGACTGTCAGAGCATCCTTGGGTCCCTGGCCTCCCCAGGCCCAGGATCCTGATGTGTGGTCCTCCACGGGTGGTTGTAGGGAAGGTGGTCCCAGCCCCCTGCCATTTTAGGATGTGGGAAGTGCCTGGCCGCCGTTAGTTAACACGCACCTACCCAGCCCTGGCTGTTTCCCCTGGGCAGGCTCCTACGAGGGAGGGAAGGGACAGCTGGAGCCAGCTCTCCAGTGTGCTCACCTTCATGTCCACCTGCTAAACTGCTAACCTGCCCGAAGTGTGTCCCACTGCCCCTTGCTGGGGCATCTTCCTGGTTGCGCCTTCTTCCCGGAAGCACCCGCTGTGCAGCCCTTCCAGCAGGCAGATACTAAGCCCGGCACCCCTCCCAGGCTCCAGGCTCACTTGTGTGCTAACCTCTGTGCCCACCTGGCCACCTGCTCACCTGCCTGAAGCGTGTCCCACTGCCCCAAGCTGGGGCTGCTTCCTGGTTGTGAGGGAAGTGCCTGCTCTGCAGACCCCCACCTTCCAGCAGGCGGATACTAAGCCCAGCACCCCTCCCAGGCTCTGGCCCTCCCCACACACCTGTGGTTTCAAGCCCTGTTCTGCTGGAAGGGACACTCCTCCCACCTCCCCAGCCCTCTCTGCTGGAGCCGTGCCCCTCCCCCGACATTCCTCCAGGCTGGGCCACCCCCACATGCCTCCTTGCTCTCCACCGCCCAGACCTTCTCCTTATCTTGTTTTCCTTTTTATATTGTTGTTCTCCCTCCCTGGCCTTGCCTCTCCCTGCTGGGTTCCTTGCCCGAGTTTCTAATTCAGAGAAGACTGGGTAACTCCCCACAGTGTCTCTGCTAAAGCTTCCCAGGCCCAGTGACTTTTTACTAAATCCTCGAAGGCCATCAGGTTCCAGGGCCTGCTGAGGTCTCCATAATCACCCCTTGATTCCAGAAATGATCCGAGACTAGAGACTTATCCCAGCCCAGCCCTACTGCCCAGGTCCTCCGGTGCCTGCCTGGGAGCCTGTTTGTGCACTTTGATCCCCGGCCTGCCTGCCGGAAAATCATCCAGGCTGTGGTTCCTGATCCCATCACCTGGCTTTATCTGAGATACAAAGCACAATATTCACCGAGGGCTGGTGGCCTTCCCTGAGGGTTGGCCTGGATTAGCAACCTGCACCTGTACCCGCACCTGCACGACATGTGGCCAGGCCTGTGCTCCGAGGCCAGGTTTCCCTTCCCCCATCTCTTTCTTTGTCTCCCTCTGTGTTTCTCTCTCTGTCCCAGTCTCTCTCTTCTCCCCACTGCTGGTGGTGAGGAATTCTCCGCATGGGATGTTGGTGCATCCGTTTTCAAACTTGCTGGCTCATCCTGAACTGCATGTGCCCTCCAAGCACCTTTTCCCTGACCTTGTGGATTCTTTGGGAACAGCTGGGGAAGGGGTACCCTTTATGGAAATGAAAACCCCTCTGAGTCCCCACTTGGGAACAGCCACTTGGCTGGGACACAGGCCCAGATGTTGGGATGGCCTAAAGGGAGGTCCCTGTTGGAGGGGAGGGCTGTACAATGTGGGGGCGCCTGGTGGGGAAGGTGATGGCCAGGCTGAGACCTCCCCTGCCCTGCCTTGACAGAGGCTGCAGCACACTCCCACACACAGACACATGCACACACATTCACACATGGACACCAGCACAGATAGGTGCTGACTCATGGATACAGGTGTGCAGGGACACACACACCCCTACCTAGACACATGCACACATGTACATATGTTCCCATAGACACAGATATACATGCACACACACAGGCACACACATACTAACAGACATGTACATACGTATGCACACATTCACATAGATATACGTACACACACACACTGACAGACATGCACACACATAAACAGGCACACACACATACTAACAGACATGTACACATACATGCACACATTCACATAGACATACGTACACACAGTCACACACTGTCCAGACATGCACATACAAGGCACACACATACTAACAGACATGTATACATACATGCACACATTCACATAGACATACAGTCACACAGACATGTACACATGCATAATGACATGCACACACATACTAACAGACATGTACACATACATGCACACATTCACATAGATGTACCTACACAGTCACACAGACATGCATACATAGGCACACACAGACATGTACACATACGTACACAGTCACACACACAGACATGCACACACAAAGGCACATACTAGCAGACATGTACACATACATGCACACATTCACATAGACATATGTAAGCACACAGCCACACACTGACAGACATGCACACACATACATGCACACATTCACATAGACATACGTACACACAGTCACACACTGTCCAGACATGCACATACAAGGCACACATACTAACAGACATGTATACATACATGCACACATTCATATAGACATACAGTCACACAGACATGTACACACATGCATGACACGCACACACATACTAACAGACATGTACACATACATGCACACATTCACATAGACTTACATAGTCATGTACACACATGCATAATGACACACATACTAACAGACATGTACACATACATGCACACATTCACATAGACATACATACAGTCACAGACATGTACACACATGCATAATGACACGCACACACATACTAACAGACATGTACACATACATGCACACATTCACATAGATGTACATACACAGTCACACACACAGACATGCATACATAGGCACACACAGACATGTACACATACAGTCACAAACACACAGACATGCATACATAGGCACACACAGACATGTACACATACGTACACAGTCACACACAGACATGCACACACAAAGGCACATACTAGCAGACGTACACAGACATGCACACATTCACATAGATGTACATAGTCACACACAGACATGCATACATAGGCACACAGACATGCACACACAAAGGCACATACTAGCAGACATGTACACATGCACACATTCACATAGACATATGTAAACACACAGTCACACACACTGACAGACATGCACACACATGCACACATTCACATAGACATACGTACACAGTCATACACTGACAGACATGTACACACATGCATAATATGCACACATGTACACACAGTCACATAAATAGACACATATACACACACAGGCACACATGGATGCCCAGCCACATGCATGCAGACACACACAGACACATGTGCACCCTCTCACACACTTTTCTCTTTCTACAACTTTGGGGTCAGAAGACCACTGACAGCTGCAGCAGGATCACTAAAAAGTGACACAAGGTCACGGGGCTCTGTGGCCCCAGCTTCCTCAGACCCCCAGGGTCTCTCCACTCCCAGAGCCCCCTGCCTGAGGGGCCGGAGCCCTGTGGCCAAGGCCTTTCCTCCTGGGCCCATCCTGAGGCCTGCAGGTGGACCCCGGCCCGGCCTCCTCTGAGGGCCGTCTTCCGTGCTGGCTCCGCAGCCCTCTCCTGTGCCCGCACCTGTGCAGATGCTTGTTTTCACCCGGGCGTCTGCAGGCACTTGGTGCCAGGCTCCTCCGGGGCTTTCTCAGAGGCAGCCGAGTGCCAGGCCCTGCACACGACACCCTCACCCGAGCCGGAGAGCTTCACATCTGTGGAAAACTCTAATTAAAGACGTTTTGAGAAACGCTGAACGTCTCCCTTTGTTATTTAGGAACAAAACACTCTTTTAGGAAGCAAGTGCTTATGGCTTCTTTCTTGAGATTCTGAGTAAAGGGGCGTTAAGCTTGCTAGCTGGGGCATGCTGAGCACTTCCCAGGTTATGGCTTTACCCCAGAGCGATTGACAGGCATCCAGGTTTCCTCATGCTTCATTTTCCCCTGTTTTCTAAGGTTAAAACTGAGAGCTGTTTCTCCAATGCAAAGCTGCTTGTTTAAGGGTTTCGTATTTGATGTTGGAAATGCTCTGGACTCTTCCATGGTTTTTATATTCCAGTGATTTCACTGCAAACCTGGTGTGTACGCCTTGTAAATTTTGACCCTGGCCAAGTGAAAGGTTCATTTTAAAAGTTTTAAAATAAATTTTAAAGGGGAGCTGGAAGTGGAATAAGTTAAGAACAGTATCAGTTTTGCCTTTCACTCTGACAGAGGCACTCTCTGCTCTGACTGACGGGTGTTGATTAAAAGTATAATATTCAAAAGAAATAGTAAAGTGCATTGGGCCTTGTTAATGTTCTACTAATTTTCTGGGGCTCCGTTTTCAAATTATAGGTGAAATTTTTTTCCTTCCAGTGTTAGTGCCTATGATAAGAAAATACATTTTCTCCACATCTGTCCACAAACCTGCTAGACCCTGTTTTGTGACTACCTCCCCTTGGAACTTGGGGCTCCATGGAAAACACACAGCTTGACCCAGCCAGCCCTCAGAGAGCCTGGGCCGGTCACTGCAGTGGCTGGATTCTCAGCATAAAAAGGCCAAACGTTCGGCCAGGCTGGGACTGGCTCCCATCCAGGACCAACTGTCCACAGTACAGTAAGGCCACTCTCTGAGTCAACATTGTTTCTTTTCTGAATTGCTAAGTTGACCGTCCCTGCAGAAGCAGAGAGGGCTGCGGTGTGGCATTCCTGCCCACTCCAAATGAGGGCAGCCCGGACGCGGGAGCTCTCAGGGAGGCGCAGTGGGCTTTGGGTGTGTCTGGACTGTCTCCACCACACCTGGAAGATACTGTTCACTTCCTTTTTACACTTGTGGGAAATACATGACAGTGTTTACGGGCAGGCTGGCTTTCCGTTTATTTCAACCCTGACAATTGAATAGCAGCAGCAGATGATGAAACTGTTCACTTCCCGATCACTCCCGTTCTCAGATCCATCACTTAGCTCGTCCGTCGCTCAGCTCGTCTGTTAGTCTGAAAGATGAATCGTGCACGGGTCCTCCTGAGAGTGCTGTTCTCGGGGTCTCCATGTGTGAAGTTGTTACATCCTCATGACAACTGTGTAACAGCTGTCACTGAGCCATTTTACAGATGTGGAAACTGAGGCCCTGAGAGGCTGTGGAGGGCTACAGTGTGTCCTGGGCATTTGAGCCCCACACTCTGTCATTAACTCCTGTGCTCGCTGGGACTGGGGGAGAGCAGGACGCGGCAGCACCCCCGGCCCCACTGTGTGCTCCTCTGTGTGCAGGCGACTGTGAGCATACTGGCACCCATGTGAGGGCTGAGTGGTGCTGGTGTGGGCGCATAAAGCACAGGGCGGCTGCGGGGAGCTGGGTGTGTGTCAGTGGCTCGGAGCATTAGTCTCGTGAACATGGTCTGCCAGGTGCGTCATGCTGGGCTACAGAGCCCATGGCTCCACCATAAATGGTGGTTTTGTGTTTGAACTTGAGTGTTGCTGCTCAGTGAGGCCAGAGGAAGGCACCAACCTGCAGGCCTGGCCGGTCCTCACAACACGGAAGGCAACCAGTCCACTAGAGAGACATGTGTCCCGGCCACTGGAGGAGTCCAAGTGACCTTTAAGTCTCACCAGTCCTCAGAGCAACCCAGGTGAATTTGGGGCCTGAGCTTGGTCGTCTGGCCGAAGACCAGCTCAACTTGGATAAAGCTGGAGGAGAAGCCTGTCCCTCAGGCAGCTGCCAGGGCATCTGTGATTTCTGCTTGCGTGCACTCTTGGCGACTATTGGTGGTGGTCGCAGTCAGGGCATCTGGTTGCCTTTACTGTCCTTACACCAGCTGGGCAGAGCTCAGGCTGGGAGCCCAGTGGGAGAGGCCGGGGCGTGACTCCCGGCGCAGAAGCGGCAGTGGCACACCGGCGTCCCAAGCACAGCTGTCCCTGCCAGGCCCCTGCGCGTTGGATCTTTGGGTTGAGTCATGCTCGATGGTGCAGCCATCCTTTCAAGGGAACTGAGCTGTCCAGCGTCCCATGGAGCAGCTCCCCGTGGATCCGGAGAGGCCGTAAATAAACCTCCCCATTTGTAAGCCGGGAACACACATGAACTTTGCAATCGTGTTTGTCCTGGGATCATAGAACGTGGTGGCTGGCAAGACCCAGGCATCCTCATCCTGTGCTGCTGTGAACAGAGGCCGGTAGCTTATTGAGGGACCAGTCCCAGTTCGCTTTCTGTGGGGAAGACTCTGATGGAAGCCTAGGCCCCAAACTCCAAGGTTAGCACATCTTCTTGGGGGGATTGACACCTCCAAAGGTGAACTTGGGTCCAAGGCACGTGTGTGCGACCTGAAGCATGGGTGCCGTGTGCAGGAGACGCCCTCACCGGAGATGGGGACCGAGTCCACACGGCTCTAACTGCAGAATCACTGGCCCTGTGCCCACGACTATTTTATTTTGCTGTTTTATATGATCACAAAGTACACTGTCTTGTTTTTCCCAAAGCATTTGCAGTGAGACATCCCACTTCCTCTCCACGGCAGCTGTTGCGGGCACGAGGCTGCTCCCAGGACAGCGATGCCACCGGGGCTGGGGTGGGCACGGAGGAACCCTCTTCCTTCCTCCTCCCCGCCCTCTGCTCCCCCACAGACTGGCCTGTCTTTAGTCAGCACTTTCCCAGGCTCCCTTCTGCCCACCACGTGCAAACAGTGGCGTGTCCTGGGCCTCTCTCCTTGTAGTGTTTCTTGTGGCCAGCATCCCTCCCATCCAACAGCTGTGTGGCTTCCTGACTGGCTTCTCTCAGGGCCCGCAAGGATGCTGCCAAATGGCCAGAGACAGTCACTGCTCTGCACTTCAAAGCAGGCAGCCCTCGGTGGGGCTTGCCCTGAAAGACAGCGGGCCTTCCTCGATGAGAGCCTGTGCTGGCTCAGGGCCTGTGGGGGCTGCAGCTCTGTTCCTTCCCTGCGTCCACGCTCACATGCTGAATGTTGTGCACCACAGGACACCCTGCTGGGGGCTGTCGGGAGCATGCTCTGTGTTTGGGGCAGAGACGGGCAGAGTGAGTCTCAGCATTACTGCCGTGCAGGGTTGAGTCTCAGCATGACTTCCATGCAGGGGGAGTCTCGGCGTCACTGCCATGCGGGGCGAGTCTCGGCGTTACCGCCGTGCAGCTGCTGGAAGCCACTCGAGCTCCTCTGTCTCGTTTGCCATGAAGCCCATGAGAGACACTGATGTGTGTCTCGGGGCTTCTGTGAGAAGAGCTTGGTTACCCACCGGGTCAGGCACCACGTCGGTGCTGTGAGGCATGGAGGGTGCTCACAGCTGTGCAGTCAGCTACAGAGGCCTTTCCCAGCATCCACATCTGACCGGGCAGTCACACCAGGATGAGCTCCCAGGAAGAGGGCTCCCAGCAAGGGAGGGCGCACCTGGGTGTGAGCTTGGAGGAGGGCAGAGGCACCTGTCACCGCTGACCCTGGGTGCAGATGGGCATGCCGGGTATACTGACTGTGCTTTCCTGGGGCCTGTCTCCCTCCAGGTCAGCCTGGGGTCCTCTGGGCTGGGGGCCATGCACTGCCTCCTGTGGGCAGTGGGATCAGCACTTCCACTTTGCTCAGGGCTAGAGCAGGCTGCTGCGGGTGTGAAGACTTAGGAAACGAATTCGGAAGGAAGGAAAGGATTTTGCACTTCCCAAGCTAGAAGAACATGAATAGAGCCGGGCTGCCAGGCCAAGGGTCTGTAAGACGGCGGCTCTTCAGAGAGTCTGCAAATGCTGAGAAAGGAAGGCTCCCCAAGGGCAGTTCCTGTGGGCGTTACTCTGAGTTTTCTCATAGAAGTCAAGTTCTTGGAAGACAGCACTATGGTCAAAGGGTTAGTGAATTCTTGTGACCATTTCCCATGGAAAATATCAGAGAAAGTTATGGTGTTGATAAACAGAGTCCCTGTGCTCAGCAGTCTCCACCCACTTGTCAAGTAAGATAAAGATTTTTGGAAACAAAATTTATGGCTGTTATTTGCTAAAGAGAGTAATACATTCTTAGCACACTCTGAAAAATAACCACTATTTGCTGTATGAATGCAGATGAAACTCACACAAAAAGATTTATGCAGGACTGACATCGGGTGTTTGCAGAAGGTTCTCCACGTTCACTGACCTCTGATCCTCACTGCAGCTCTGCGGGGACTGTGGCCCAAGGATGAGTGAGCGTCAGGTCGGGCCGTGCCCTTAATCCCCTGGCTGCCCCTCACCACCAGGCAGAGACCTTGCTGGGACCCAAGGAGTTAAAGTGTATTCAGAGATGAAGGTGTTTAGGAAATGTTCTGGAACCTTCCAAACTGACTTTAGGCTGCGTGAGGTGCTTCCAGTTCAGTGCACTTTGGGCCCAAAAGTGTTTCCTGTCTTGTTAATGCACTGTGTTGTGTGCCATCACCGCATGGAGGTTTTGGCCATTTTTAAAAAGTGAATGGGCCCTCCCAGGGTCTAGTTGGATCGAGAGACCACTGGAAACCCTCACCAAGCTGCAGGCAGGTAGGCAGGGGCCCCAGAGCAGGCCTAGGGGAAGAGTCCCCCCGGCCCCTTGGAGGGTCTCTTCACGTGCTGGGTGCTGCCTGATTCCTGCGGTGGCATGGGGAGGTCACCCCACCTTGTTCTGAACCACAGCTCTGGGTGAGGAAGCCTGTCACCAGGTTAAAGGTCATTTGGGGGTTGGGGCGTGAGAACCGCAGTGCCCTGCTGGTAGGGTTGCCGCATGGGTGGCCAGGCTACAGCCTGGTCCCCGAGGCCGACCCATCCTGGGAACCCTGTGTGCAGCTCCCTGCCATGCTTGACCTTTGCCCTGTGGGTGGCTTTGAGCGGGGGAGACCTGGGTCTGGTGGTGGGCAGGGCAGGGGCGGAGGTGGACTTGGGTCTTTGTGACACTGCACCAATTCCCATGGATTCTGCCGGCACCCACTGCCCTCCTGAGCAGAGCAAAGGCAGCAGAGGCGGATGCCAGGGTCCGGAGGTGGCATCTACTCATCAGACACTTTCTGTAGTTTTATAACAAATTTGGGGCCTCATGTTAGACCCCAGCCAGACCAGGCTCCTGTCCTGGGGCTCAGCTCCCTCCAAGCTGCTTCAGGTTCAGTTTCCTCCATGCTTACGAAACCGAAGGGCAACGGGCACAGTCAGGGAGGCGTCAGAGGAGGCACCGGCTCCACTGTTCACACCGGGACCTTCTGCAGACGGGGCTCCCAGCCTCGACCAGCCCCGGAACCCCCAGCACGGGGACGTCCAATCTTTTGGCTTCCGTGGGCCACATTGGAAGAAGAACTGTCTTGGGCCACACATAAAATTAACACTAACAGTAGCTGATGAGCTAAAAAGAAGGTCTGTGCCTAAAGCTCATGTTTTAAGAAAGTTTACGAATTTATGTTGGGCTGCATTCATGGCCATCCTGGGCCACTCACAGTTGCGCCAGAGCCTCGGGAGCACAGGCCGAGCACCTGCCCTGCTTCACCCAGGGACGGGGCCCTGCACTGACCAGGAGGCTGTTGCCCTCCAAGTCGTCCCTGCCGGGAACAGCAAAGCACACAAACCTCCGAGAGACCTAATGGCTGCATCCTCCGTGCAGTGGGCACCACGCTTGCCACCTAGAAGAGTGGGTTTGGCAGATGTCAGTTAATAACAAGGATGTAAGTTTTAAAATCACGTGGGGGTTTGTAAACTTGAGGAATTACAGCACAAACACTTCCATATTATTAAAAGAAACAGACTGGGAGCATTGATTTTGACTTTTCTTCCAAGTACTTATCTATGATTTAAGTGAAACTGAGCATTCAGTGCTCTGTGGGAGTGAAAACTGCAGGCCCTTGCACTTGCCCACTGATTCATTCATTCACCCATCCACCCACTCATTCATTCAACTATCCATGCACTCGCTCATCCATCCATCCACTCATTCCTTCATTTATTCATCCATCTCCATCCATCCAGTCACCCATTCACCCACTCACTCATCTATCCACTCACTCACCCACCCATTCACTCATCCATTCACCCACCCACTCACCCACCCACCTATTCATTCATTCATGTATTCATCTATCTACTCACTCTCATTCACCCATTCATTCATTCATCTGTCCATCCATTCACCTATCCACCCACTCATCCATTCATGTACTCACTCATCTACCCACTCACTCATTCTTTCATTCATTCATCCATTCACTCACCCATCCACCCACTCATTCATTCACTCATCTGGCCACTCACTCATCCACCCACTCACTCATTCATTCATACACTCACTCATCCATCTATTCACTCATTGTTTTATTCATTCATCCATCCATCCATCCACTCACCCATCTATCTACGCATTTATTCATTTACCCACTCAGTCATCCGTCCATCCTCATTCATTTATCCATCCATCTCCATTCATTTACTCATCCACCCACTCATTCATTCTTTCATCCACCCACTCATCCATCCACTCATTCATTTGTTCATTCATCCATCTCTATCCACTCATCCATTCATTCATTCCCATTCACTCATTCATCCACTGATTCATTCATTCATTCATCTGGTTATTCACCCATCCACTCACTTATCCATCCATGCATCTGTCTGCTCACTCATCCATCCTACTCACTAATCTATCCACCGATTCACTCATCCATCCATTCATTCATTCATCTGTGCATTTATCCATACATGCATCTATCCATCCATCTATCCATCTATCAATCCATCTGTTCAGTCATTCATCCATTCACTCATCCATCCATCCACCCACTCATTCATGCATCCATCTGCCCATCCACTCATTTATTCACCCATCCATTCTTTCACGCACTCATCCACTGTCCATCTGTCATCCATCCATGTGTTTGGTGACGGCTCATGAGGCCTCTGGGGGACAGTCAGCACCAGGCTCGGTGCTGGGCAGGTAGATGTTGTCTTTTTCCTCTTGAAGCTTCAGCTAACAGTGCAGTGGCTTGGGGTTTGCTCACTTATTTTTATCTGTAGCTGTTCAAATAAAACAGAAGCAGATCCCCGGGGAAAGGATTTCCAGGGGCCAAATGGCGCCATTTCCAGCCTGGGAATCCCAGCTTCTTCCCCCTGTTGCCCTCACCTAACCCCAGCACGCCAACCCATTACCATAGGTCTTGCTCTTCCTAGGTTTAGAAGAAAGAGAGTCAGTGTGTACATAAGGAGCTCCTGGTTCTAAATTCCGGCCTCCTGAGTGGTGGCCTCTGCTCCATGGGGACTCCTGGGGGTGCTGCTCTGGAGATATGGCTAATGCAGGGCTTCAGGCCAAGGTTTATGGACCTGAACAAGCAGTAGTGCAGACAGGGGTGGGAGGGTTTTGAGGACAAAGTGCTCTGTGTTTGGTTCTGCAGGTCAGGGAGCTTATCTGGGTGCCTTTACTCAAAGCCATTTCTGGGTCTTACATCTTTGGCTAGAATGTTCTCAGGACAATGTGAAATGTCTTTATCTCAGGAGTGTATACCAGAATGTTCTCAGGACAACGTGAAATGTCTTTCTTTCTTGGGAGTGTGTACCAGAATGTTCTCAGGAAAATGTGAAATGTCTCTTTTTCTTTCTCTCAGGAGTGTATAGCGTTTTTAGGTTTATTCATCTTAGCTTTTCTCTTGCTCATGGTTTAACCATCTTTCCCCTAGTTTGCCGGTGGAATTAGCATATGCTTTCTGCCTCCATTACTGTCTCAAATAATCAAACATGCAAATTAGGATACAGTGCCCAGGGCTATAACCCTGTGGTTTCAGAAACCCCATTCCCATAGGTGTGGCGAACTGACAGGAGATTGGCATAGTTTTTCCATGAATAATGCCTTTTTGCAACAATAAAACTTGGTATTAATACAGATTACACATTAAGTAGTATGACTAGTCTTGATTTTGAAAAATAGAACACACTTGCTGTAAAGCTGTGGTAATGCAAGCATTTGTGTATAGTTAGGCCGTTTGCTCACTAGTTCTTAGTTGTTTTCAATCCCTGGCTTCTAAACCTGAAAGGACACCTTTTGCATCCCTCGCAAGTCTTTTATTTCAGAGCCAGAGCCTCCTGCTTTGAGACAAAGCCCCATCACTTCCCTTCTCCTTCCAAGCCTAGAAACCTGGTGCCACTTCGTGTTGCTCCAGGACTCCACCAGGGCTCACTTGGTATGGCTGTTCTTGCCTTTTCTTGGAGTTTGCCAACCCATGACTAAAATTGGAAGTGAGAGAAATGAGGGCAGGCATGAGGGTGTGTGTTCCAGGTCTGCAGCCCTCCTGGCCTTCAGGGCGGCCGCCCTCCCAACAGACACGTGAGCTGCACACCAGCTCACCCTGACCCTTCCTTTCTCTTAAGGGAGTAAGAGTTTAAGAGCATCCCATCTTTCCTAGAACACAACTTTGTGAAAACACATCCAAGCAGGCCTCAGGAGGGTGTTGGCAAGGCTGGGGCGGGGCCTCCAGGCTCTTCCCACAAAAGGTGTGGCAAGGCCAGCAAGTGTGGGAGAGAGGTGGGAAGGAGGCAGAAAGGCCATGCAGAGCCAGCGCATGAAGCCAGAGGCGCGTTGCAGACGGCGCTGGGTACCTACCGCCTCTGTCTGCTACTCTGCAAAATGCTACCAGCGCCTGCTAATCCTGACCTTCATGCCCCCAGGTGAATCCCACAACCATCCTGAAGCCGGGTTTCCTCATTCCTGATAATGGGATTAAAAAGACCTTCCTGGGTGTTATTTGTGAGGATTTCATAAAATAGTGTAAAAATGCTGACTCATACCCAGCATGGAGAGGCCGCTGGGACTATTCTGCCATGACTGTGGTCTCTTGGTTTAGAGCATTTAGGGCCAAACTGCTGGCATGGTTGACCCTAAGCTGGAGATTGGAGGCTGCTTTAACCAGGCTGTGGCCCTAGAATCTGTGGGCCATGGCAAAAGGATCCTGAAGAAGTTTCCGGCCGGCCTCTGCTGGCCAAGTGACAGGCAGGTGGTTCCAGGACTCGACAGCTCACTTGTGTCGAATGTGGACCTCGTCAGTGCGCTTTCATGGATAAGAAGACCCTTCATTACAGCCTCCATCCTCACCCAGTACCAATTTTGTTTCACCAATACTATAAGTGCAAATCAATGCCCGTGTGCCAAAAGAAAGGTCTTTGGGGTTTTGAGAGACCTTTGTGTCAACAGGGAACTAAGGTCTTTGGGTTTTAGAGACCCTTATGTCAACAGGGAACTAAGAGTGGGGTTTTACTTGGAAGCATTCTTGTCCTCCTGGGCAGGCCTCTCCCCTGGACACACCTGGTAGCACTTCCTACGCAGCTGGAAATGGCCCTGCCTTTGCTTGTTGGTCTCACAGCAGTCGTGCCCCGGTCACTTCCCCTCAGTTCCCCGGGTGGGGCGGCCCTCTGGCTGCCCCGAGAGCAGCCTCTGATTAACCAGCTGATGCTTATGTTGTTCAGAGACCCTCGTAGTGTGCCGGTCAATGCTTGCCTTTTCTTTTTCTTTTTCCACAGGATTATTTTTACCCAAGATACTTAGGTAAGTCTCAATTACTTCTCTACTCTGGTTGTCGTAGAGGCATAGTTGGGGGTGCGTGTTTCATGTTGGAGGAATCTCCTCACCACGTAACTCTTGGAAGGAAGATTCTTAATCACATGGTGCACGTGGAACTGTCCGGAACATGCAGGTCAGAAACACAAGTTTCTCTCTTTATTTTATACCACAGCTTTATTCCGTGTTAGTGGAACCTCAGGTGAATGCTGTTATCTGCAAACCCCTTCTCTGAGTTGATGCCAGGCTCAGCTCCTTGTCAGGACGTGTAATTGATTTTGTCCTCCGGTTTTCTGACCTCAGCACTAATCACTTCTGAAGTCATTGAGGACCCCAAAGGGGTCCATGTTCATGTGGGCTGTATTGACTGATATTTACCGTATTCTTAATTAAAACCGAAAACACTGAATAGTGTTTCTGTTTAATTTGAAGAACGGGAATGCCAGACGTTATCTCAGCCATCAGAGCAGCTGGTGCATGTGGGGCGGCCTCTGGAGACCCCCACTGTACACTTGGGAAGGGAGGACAGCAAGAAAGTGAAACCCAGAGACCCCGGGTCAGCCCGTTTAACTGACACCATCTTAGAGCTCTTTGAGAGCATTTCACTTAGAAGGAGAGAAATGTATTCCAGGGTCTTCTTTTTAATGTTGCAAAGTGCATTTTAGTAAATGTCCTCTTAAAGGGTCCTTCCCTGGGTCCATATCTGGAACAAACACAGTGGGTCTGGCACTGGCCCAGAAAGCCCAGGCACCAGCGAGGACTGAGTTCTGAAGCAGGGGGTGGCCAGCGGTCCACAGCACACCTGCAGGAGGCCTTCCGCTGTTCATCCGTGCCGTTCTGCGCCTGGATAAGCAACAGTAACCCACTGAAGGGCCAGGTCGAGAGGCCCCGCACCGTTCTGCACAACCTCACGCTTCGGGTTATCCCTGGATGTGCATGTGCCAGGCCTCGCCTCCCCCCGCCGCCCTAGCGGGATGTCTGCTGTCAAGCTGTGTTCAGCCAGCCAGAGAGCATGGAGGGGCTTTCTCCAAAGCAGAGTGGCTTTCCAGTTAAGCACAGCGTTTCCCAATGGGGGTCCACTGGAAAATGAAGTTTAGCTTTTCGAGTACCGTCAGGAACTTACTGAGCATTCCCGGTGATTCTCCCGTATGGCAGGAGGAGCCCCCTCGAAACGGCGGGCGGTGCTTTACGCACTTGACTGTGGGTGCACAACTCCGCTGAGTTGGTGGAGGTGGTTTCCTGTTTGTCAGGGTTGGGGCTAACATGTTTTTTATTAACACAAGCTAAGCGGCATTGTTTCTGGAGGATGATAGCACCCCAGGTAAGCAGAGTAACTGCCTCTCCAGAGCGTCTCAGAAGCAGAGGCTCTGCAGTCCATCCGGTCTTGTAAGGATGACTGACATCCATTCCCTTTCTTCCTGCAGACTGCATCAACAAGTATGGGTCTCCGTACACCAAAAACTCAGGCTTCGCCACCTGCGTGCAAAGTAAGTCGGCCTCCTTTGCGCCTTCCTGGGAGCACTGTGGGTTTGGGCGGCTTTAGGCTTGGCTGTGGTTTGTGGAGGGCCCTGAATAGTTCTGTTTTTTAAGGAGCTGTGGTCCCTTGCCGAGGCCTGCTCCCTTTTCGCCAAACTTTCTTTTTTAAACAAGTAAATTTTGACGTTTTTAGCAATAGGCAATAAATGCACATGGAACAAAATGTAAATGTTTCACAGAGTGTGATGTGAAAGCCCATCCCCGCCTCTGAGTCGTCCAGTCAGACACCACCGTAGTTACAGTTCCAAGAATCTTGTGCTTAGACATGTAAACATGTGTGAGCGGCCTTCCGCTCTTCACACGCGTGGCGGCTTAGCACACACGGTCTGTCCCGTGCCTCTGCAACTCTGTCTGCACAGGAGACCCTCTCTTAGCGTGTCTCACCTTCACGCTGGCATTTCCAGCCGGTGCATCATATGAACTTAGCCCATGCATATTGGCTGATGTCCAGGTTATTTCCAATTTCCATCATTTAAACAAAACTGGCGTGACATCCTCATGCACCTGTTGCCTCCCACACGTCTGAGTGTCTGCGGGATGCGTTCCCAAGGATGGAATCGCAGAGGCAGTCCTCATGTTTCCTTTGGATACAGATACTGCCAAATTATCCCAGAGCCAGCCTTAGCCTCCGCCCCTGCAGGGGTGAATGAACTGTTTTTTTAAACTTTTGATCTCTTCCAATGTAACAGGCGAGAAATGACATCAGTCATTTCAGGTTTTTTTTTTTTTTTTTAACTAATGAGTAAAGCTGTCCTTCATAGGTTTAAAAACTGTGTATTTCTTTTCCTATAAACTGTTGTTTATATTTTTTGCCTGTTTTTCTCAATTTGTAGGAGTTTGCACATTAGCCATTGGTAGTAAAGTTATCAAAAATTTTTTCAGCTTGCCACAAGTCTTTTTTATTATTTTAAAATTATCATGCAATAAGATTGATTGTTTTGGGTGTCCTGTATGAATTTTAACATACCTTCAGCACAACCCACACAGCTCCCCTTGCACTGGGTCTGTGGTCCGCTGGCGTCACGTGTGTCTAGTTTTAGATGAAAGTCCAGCTTGGTGAGTCCCTGTGGGCGCTGAGAGCAGAGGCGTGGCGGGACGGAGTCATCCTGGGAGAGGCAGGAGTCTCTTCCCAGGCATGGCTTTGGAGCTGGATCCCAGTCAGCAGAAGGAGTCAGAGGTGGCTCAGTCCCGCTCCCCAAGCCCCACGCACTGTCCGTGGGCGTCTCTGGCCTCCCGGACTTGTATCACAGACCCCAGCCCAAGAGACACAGGCAGAGGAAATGCTCAGTGTAAACATGGGAATGGGAGGGTGGCCCTGCCCTGTGGCCCGGCCTGCCCTGACCTGCAACCATGCACAGTAGCCAGGTGCCACGTAGGGCCCAATGTCTGCATTTGGGGCAGAGGCTCCTGCGTGCTCAGAGGAGACAAGCAGATCCTGTCACGCGTGTTTTATCTTAGTGATTGCTAAACCAGTCTCTTCTTTTAAATTCTGTATTCACACTTGTTATACTCTCTTAGTTCCTGGGCTTTAGGCTTCTCCCCAAGATTACAAAACAGTTACCTGCTGTTAGGTGTTTTCATCTGTGACCCGCCCGTAATTTCTTTTGACGTGATGGATGAGGTGGGGATCTAGACTGCAGGCTCAGTTCCTGCCCCAACACCACACATTTGAGTCTGTCTCACCCCAGTGCCTCACCTGCTGCCGTCCTCATATGCTGGGTATTTGGGAGATTTTCTGCCGGGTTTCCACAGGCCGTGGCCACAGCTTTAGACTCGGCCTCATGCACGCGGGTGGGTCTCCTATGCCCTCCTCAGTCTTTTTTCTGGTTGTCTTGCTTATTTTTTAATAAAACTAAACCTTAAAAATATTCTTAAAAACCTAAAAAAGCCCTTTAGATATTTTTAACTGGGCTTGCCATTCATATATCGGAGACTGTGTCTGAACAGTGTTGCGCTTTCCTAACCCCGGCACCGTCCTGTCCGTCCCTTGGAGCACTTTTCTTCCTGTGCGTCCCGTGCTTCCTTTGCTCAGTTCACTTCTGGCTATTTGCAGCAAAGAAGGCCGTCCTTTTCAAGGCGTCGCCTCGCTTCCTTGCATGGATGAAGAGGAGTGATTGCTACATGTTCCTTTCTGTTCCCGCCGCCCAATAGAGTTATCTTGTTTTGGTTATTTCCTTTGTGGCATCAGCGTCCCCAAGTGCGGCCAGCTGGGGAGAGGAGGGCAAGGTCAAGATCCTTGAGTTTGTTCCCTGTGTGATAGGAAGAGAATCTCTTGCTGTGGCTGGTGCCAGAGGCAACACATGCAGTTTCTAACGGGTCCACCTGCCCCAGGCCAGAAGCTCCGGCCACTCTCCCTGAGCCGGCCCTCAGAGGCTGCCCTGCCTGTGGCCTGGGGCTCTCAGCTTCTCCTCCAGAGCACGTGGCTGGGGCCTCTGATGTTCGCGTGCCTCAAAAGATGCCTGGCGGTGAAGAAGGTGCTTTGGTGGCCTGGCCACAGCAGGCAGCCTTGCACTCCCTTGGGAAGGCGCCTCCCGGAGGATGCAGCTGGGGCAGCCTCACACTCTGTTCCTGTTCATTGGTTCCCTCGTGAAAATTCTCTGACTTGGTGCTCACGGTGCTGTCCTGGCTTCAGTTCACTGGTTATCGGTCATTGTGAAATTAAAGCCATAGCCCCATAAAGTCCAAATTCAGCCCCAGACAAGCAGGCCCCCAGCGGGCCTTGCATGGGAGCCTGCGGCCCTCAGGCTGTCCCAGGACCCAGGCGGCACAGTGGACGGAGGGAGGAGGCCTGGGAAGAGTGTAGGCTGCGTTCCCAGGTGCCCCTGAAGAGCCTCTGCTTCCATTTCTTTCCTTTCCCACGGACACACCCAGCTTCTCCACTGCGAACGCGCCCGTCCTGCCATAGCGGCCACTTGGTGCTTGGATTTCTCGGCTCCTTTGACCCATGGGTTTCCCCAGGAAGGTCAGGTCCCCACAGGCGGTGGCCCAGGCAGCGGTCACTGAGCCCCGGCTACCGGGATCCCACCCCCGCCACGGGGAGTGTCCCCTCGCCCTTCCCTCGGGCAGACAGGGCTCTGGTCCTCGCTCGTCACCACCCAGGGAAAGGCCCTGGCCGCCCGCACCGGCTTCAGATTCCAGCCACAGCCACAGCCGCTCCCTCCTGTCCTTCAACGCAGTCATGGGCCAAGCTGAGATAAACCCTTCACCTCCTGAACAGGCGCTGGCGCCCAGGGCATGACCAGCCAGGCCACCGATACCCTAGGCCCAGCTTGCGGGATGGGGATCAGGGAGGTGGGCGGGGGTCAGGGAGGTGGACGGGGTCAGGGAAGTGGGTGCCCTCGGGGGCCTGCAGAGGTTTCTGTCTCCATCGCTTTCCCTGTTGTGTGGAGGAAATTCCACAGATATTTGCTGGGCACCGGCTGACTGTCCACCCCTCAGGTGTGGTTCCGTCCTTGCATCCTAGAGGTATCAATACATTCCCAACAGGGAAATAAACAAATGAGTTGGGGGAGGCCCCGGGGCAGGTGGCATGAGTCTGGGGACCGCTTAAGAGCTGGGCACCTGGCAGGAGCAGGCACTGTCCCTCAGCCTCAGGGACAGAGGTCTTTCCGAAAGGCATTCCAGGCAAAGTCAAGACCGGGTTCCCAGCCCTTTGCATCACATGGGCAGGTGTCCACTTCTGAAATGGCTTTAATCTCTAACCAAACATCGTAGCGGCAGCGCACAGCATCCCCCAGACATCCCTCCATGGTGGGGGCCTCTGAGGAGGTCAGGTTCTGGTGCCGGAGGGTTGGGCCCTGCACAGGCCGCCTGCCCTGCACGTGTCTGACTCCCTCCTGCCCCCAGAGCCTCTTCATCTGAGGCCAGGGTGGAGAAGCGGATACGCCCCTCATTTCTCTAGTTCAGGCCAGACCTCCCCGTTCCAGGCCCTGCTATGACCACATCGACGTCTCCAGACGCCCCGCGGACACAGCACCCAGGTACAGCCGGGCGACAGCAGTGTCAGGGATGGGGCCCCGGCCGGCTCCTGGCGGCTGTGCTGATGCAGAATCCCTGGTCCTGGTCCTCGTTTCCTCGTAACTCCGAAGGCCAGCCCCAGCCCCTGTGTGCTTCAGAGTAGAAAGCGTTTATAGTGACCTGCTGAAAATAGCATCTTAGAAACACTTCGAGACGCGAGCTCCGTCCACACCCACAAGTGTTCTGTTGTCAGTCATTTGTGCAAAACAAGCAAACGGAGGTGTAGGGAGGAAACTGTGGGGTGTACTGAGGAAACTGAGGCTTATAGAGGAAACTGTGAGGCAGACGGAGGAAACTGAGGTGTATGGAGGAAACTGAAGCATACAGAGGAAATTGAGGCGTATGGAGGAAACTGGGGCGTATGGAGGAAACTGGGGCGTATGGAGGAAACTGGGGCGTACAAAGGAAATTGAGGCGTATGGAGGAAACTGGGGCGTATGGAGGAAACTGAGGCATATGGAGGAAACTGTGGGGCGTACAGAGAAAATTGAGGCGTATGGAGGAAACTGTGGGGTGTATGGAAGAAACTGGGGGGCGTATGGAGGAAATTGAGGCATATGGAGGAAACTGTGGGGTGTATGGAGGAAACTGGGCATATGGAGGAAACTGTGGGGCGTATGGAAGAAACTGTGGGGCGTATGGAGGAAACTGTGGGGCGTATGGAGGAAACTGTGGGGCGTATGGAGGAAACTGGGGGGCGTATGGAGGAAACTGGGCATATGGAGGAAACTGTGGGGTGTATGGAGGAAACTGGGCATATGGAGGAAACTGTGGGGTGTATGGAAGAAACTGGGGGGCGTATGGAGGAAATTGAGGCATATGGAGGAAACTGTGGGGTGTATGGAGGAAACTGGGCATATGGAGGAAACTGTGGGGCGTATGGAGGAAACTGTGGGGTGTATGGAGGAAACCGGGGCGTATGGAGGAAACTGGGGCATACGGAGGAAACTGTGGGGCGTATGGAGGAAATTGAGGCATATGGAGGAAACTGGGGCATACGGAGGAAACGCGGGTGTACGGAGCAAACTGTGAGGCATACGGAGGAAACGCTGTGAGGCATACGGCGAAGCGTCGCAGAAAGAAGCCAGTGTGGTTGGGCAGCTTCCCCAAGAAGCCTGGGACTCGTAGCCAGGGCCTCTGGTGAGCGCGGTGCCTGGACCCGCCTAGGAGGACAGGGGCTGTGTCTGTGCCGGCCACAGGCAGTGACTGTAAGCCCTGGATGAGCTGGAGGAACTCAGCTTTGTGAACCACAGACCCGCCCGCCGCTCACCCTGGCACCGGGCACCCCTGACCCCGGCCAGGTGGGGATGGAAGCGGCTCCTGCACTGACAGCCGAGCCCAGACCCTCTGGTGGAAACGCCACATTCTACAGACCTGGTGGGAAACGTCACCTTGGGAGCCTCAGGAACAGAAGCGACACGCTGGCAGTGAGAGCCCATGCACTGAAGACTCGACGTGCCCCCACCAGGGCTGACCCCTTAGGACGATGCTGGCCCAGTGCCCTAGGGCCCTGCTGGCCCGGCCTGCACTTTTCCCAGGGACTGGTCCTTATTGAACTTGTGTGGAATCAATGGACCGGAGCCCTCTCTCAGCCAGCAGGGGGGCCCTACCCAGGGTTCCCCACGGAGCCCTGTGTGGCTAAGCTGAGCGTGGCTGAGTCCTCATGTGGGGCTGAGCTGAGTGTGGACCGCGCCCCTGAGCACTGCCATGCTCAGCCCCGAGCTGCTTCTGCTCTGCCAGCAGCCATGAAAGGATTCTTTGAGCTCCGGGTGTAATTGTCGTTCTTTCTGCCAACTTCCCGGGGCTCAGGCTTGCGTAACTGCACTGTCGGGGGCTTCCCTGCCTGCCTCTGGGACGTGGTTTGGGTCCGTGTCCTGGAAGCGTGTTTGTGAGCAGCTCCTCGTATGAATGTGTTTGTGAGCAGCTTCTCGGATGGGGGACTGCTTGGGAAGCAGCTGCACTGGCACGGGTTCCCACCCTCAGGCCCTCACCCGTTCCCCTGACCTCTGGCCCTGCAGGAGCTGAGCCCAGGTGACCACCCTGAGAAAGGGCAGAACACACCTGGCCTAAAGCCATCAAGACACGTGGAGAGGGGGCAGCTAAGCAGAAAGAGGGGGGCTTCCTGGAGGACCCCTCTGGCAGTGCAGCCTGGGCCTGGGGTCCTCCCCGCCACACCCAGCAGGGAGAGTTCACCAGAGATGGGCTAGGGGCTGGCCAGGGAAGGCAGAATGTTCCGAGTCTGCCTGGAAGCCCCCAGGTCAGCTGGGGGTTCTGTGTGCCTACTCCCTGGGAGGTCTGAGCTCCCAGGCCTCACGCCAGGCAGTTCCTGCTCCTTTGCCCTCAGCCCTTCCCACCTTGCGTCCAGGCCTGCTGGCACTCCCTCCCAGTTGATCTGAGTTTTCCTGGAGCCGGCCCCAGGGCCCGCCAGCCTATTCTGTCAGCCCTAGGCCAGCACAGAGGGCTCGGGTGCCCAGGGGCTGCCTCAGCCTGCGCCCCTCAGAGCTCCTCCGGGCTGGACCCGAGACCCCACAGCCGCCCCGATCTCAGCTGCGTTGGGCGCGCAGGGGTGGGGCAGCTGAACATGATTTTCCACTTTGTGTCCCCAATCAGACCTGCCTGACCAGTGCACGCCCAACCCCTGCGATAGGAAGGGGACCCAAGCCTGCCAGGACCTCATGGGCAACTTCTTCTGCCTGTGTAAAGCTGGCTGGGGGGGCCGGCTCTGCGACAAAGGTACGTGAGGCTGAAGACAAAGGCGGGGTCTCCCTCCATCTCCGACCCTGCCCTGATCCCCGCTCCTCACTCCCACTCCGGGGCACGGCCATCCTCAGGCTGCTCTCCGACAGCCCCAAGGAGGCTGCAGCCCTGAGGTATCCTGGAGCCCCAGGAGAATTGGGAGGAGCTGCAGTCTCCTTTCTGGGAGCAGGGCTGGAAGGAAAGGAAACACCAAGTGATGCCTCAGCACCCACTGATTGAAGGGCGGGGGGGGAAATTTCACCTCTGACCGTCCTTGAGTGCAGACCTGTGGTGTCAGTGGCACCCACTGATTGAAAGGCGGGGGGGAAATTTCACCTCTGACCGTCCTTGAGTGCAGACCTGTGGTGTCAGTGGCACCCACTGATTGAAAGGCCGGGGGGAGATTTCACCTCTGACCGTCCTTCAGTGTAGACCTGTGGTGTCAGTGAAGACCCTGGAGGAAGAATAGCTCCAGGGCCTGGTGGAGACCCATAGTGGAGAGCCCAGCAGGCCAGCCTGTCCCCTTTGGCAAATCCTACCCCACAGGTGGCCTGGGAGGGCTTTGCTAAGGAGTGGCCAGCTCTGGCCTGGCCTTGTCTGTCCTCGGCACCCAGAGGTCACTCCTGGCCTGCAGCCTCCTCCTGCAAGCACATGGGCATCCAGGGAGCTGAGCCCTGTGGGCTGTGACTGCCAGCAGCTCCCCAGGCTGAGACCGCAGCTGGGGATCCCCCATGCCCTCCCACCATCTACCTCCACACGCAAGGCCAGGACCAGGGGCCATGAAACGCTAGGGCTGCTGAGTGGGGTGTGAGGTCCAAGCCCTGGGGTCCCTCTCTGCTCCAGGGCTGGGCTGTGCACCTCTAGGATCTCTCTCTGCTCGGGGGCTGGGCTGTGCACTCCCAGGCTCTCTCCCTGCTCCAGGGCTGGGCTGTGCACACCCGCGGTCCCTTCCTCCTGCTCCAGTGCTGGGCTGTGCACCCCCCCGGCTCCTTCCCTGCTCCAGTGCTGGGCTGTGCACCCCCGGGCTCCCTCCCTGCTCCAGGGCTGGGCTGTGCACCCCCGGGGTCCCTTCCTCCTGCTGCGGGGCTGGGCTGTGCACCCCCGGGCTCCCTCCCTGCTCCAGGGCTGGGCTGTGCACCCCCGGGGTCCCTTCCTCCTGCTCCGGGGCTGGGCTGTGCACCCCCGGGCTCCCTCCCTGCTCCAGGGCTGGGCTGTGCACCCCCGGGGTCCCCTCCTCCTGCTCCGGGGCTGGGCTGTGCACCCCTGGGCTCCCTCCCTGCTCCAGGGCTGGGCTGTGCACCCCCGGGGTCCCTTCCTCCTGCTCCGGGGCTAGGCTGTGACCCCTGGTCTCCCTCCCTGCTCCAGGGCTGGGCTGTGCACCTTTGGGATCTCTCTCTGCTCCAGGGCTGGGCTGTGCACCTCTGGGCTCCCTCCCTGCTCCAGGGCTGGGCTGTGCACCTCTGGGATCTCTTCCTACCGTAGCCAGGGGCTGTGCACCCTTGGGCTCCCCTTCAGGCCTGTGCTTGTTCCCAGATGTCAACGAATGCAGCCAGGAGAACGGGGGCTGCCTCCAGATCTGCCACAACAAGCCGGGTAGCTTCCACTGTTCCTGCCACAGCGGCTTCGAGCTCTCCTCTGATGGCAGGACCTGCCAAGGTAAGGCCCTGGGGTGAGGCCTCTCTCCTCTCTCCTCTCCCCACCTTCTATTTTCGGTCATGTCTGCTCTTCTGCAAGCGGCTGCTGCTGGCTGGGTTCCTGTGGTTCTGGATGGGATGGGGCATCCTGCAGAGACTACACAAGCCCAGGCCAGCCGCAGCACAGGGAGCTGCTCGGCACCACACCAGGATGACTCACCCGGCATCTGAGGGCCAGGACTCAGGGGGCCGGCCCAGCCCATGAGGCCACACTGCTGGCTGTAGGGCCTCGTCCATTCCCCAGAGCCTCACAGAGCCTGGAAGTGCTCCAGGCACTTGTGTAGTGAGCTTGTGGGTCAGGGCTCCAGGCTAGGGTCCCCCCGCCGTCCACTCTCCCCAGCATCCCCAGAAGCACCCCGTTGTTGGTCTCCCTCTGTCCACTAAATATAGCCCTGCCCTCCCCACTTCCTTTCATATTTCAGTCTGGGGTTCCCTCAGCCCAGGGCCAGAGCTGGGGAGCCCCAGGACACCCCAGAAAGTCACTGTGAATGTGCGCGCCCCCGACGCTGTTCCAGGTGCTGCTGCTGCCACTGGCCCTTTGCCACTTTGCAGGGGGAGCACCTTCCTCCTCCCTCCCCACGTTGTATCTGGACATGCCCAGGCGTGTCCCTGAGAGTTTCTGGCATAGTTCTTAGCGCTGCTGCTGACTGTCCAGGACACCGAACTGCGTGGACAGGACAGACAGTTGCTCAGGGAGAAACAGCCCCAGGATCTGGAGAGTGAATCTGACCAGACAGGAGGGGCCACACCCCATCCCCCGATTTCAAAAGGCAGCTGCTATTTCTGTCCACTTTGGTGGTTCCCTTCCCTGACCACCCAGGAGTTAGCCCTGTGTGCAGATGACGTGATTCCCATCTTAACACATAAACCCATTTCCCCGCCGAGGACAGAGCCCCTCCCATCACTGCTCTATCCCTGACCTGGAAGACAGCAGCACCCCAGGTTTAAAGAGAGGTGAAGACTAGGCCGATCCTGAGAGATGACGTCTAAAGCATCTCCCGTGGGTCCCTGCACCAGTCGGGCACTCCCGGCAAAGTCTAGGCTCACAGTTACTGCCCACAGTGACAGAGGCATTCCCGTCCTCTCCTCCTCCTCCCCATCTTCCTCTTCCTCCCCACCATTCCCCCTCCTCCTTTCCCCACTCCCCCTCCTCCTCTCCCCACTCCCCCTCCTCCTCCCCCCCACTCCCCCTCCTCCTCCCCATCTTCCTCCTCCTCCTCATCTTCCTCCTCCTCTTTCTTCTCCTCCTCCCCCCACTCCCCCTCTTCCTCCCCATCTTCTTCCTCCCCCTCCTCCTCCTCATTCCCCTCTTCTTCCTCCTCATTCCCCTCTTCTTCCTCCTCATTCCCCCTCCTCTTTTTCCCCCTCCTCCTCCCCCATCCTTATTTCCCCTCTCCTCCTCCTCCCCCACCCCTCCCCAC
This sequence comes from Homo sapiens, assembly GCF_000001405.40. NCBI lineage: Eukaryota > Metazoa > Chordata > Mammalia > Primates > Hominidae > Homo > Homo sapiens. Next base: position 113,836,609 of record NC_000013.11, on the reverse strand, counting down.
CCCCTCCCTCACCCCTCCCCACCCCCTCCCTCACCCCTCCCCACCCCCTCCCTCACCTCCTCCCCCACCCCTCCCTCACCTTCTCCTCTTCCTCCCTGCTTCTCCTCCTCCTCCCCCTCCGTCGTCCTCCCCCTCCGTCCTCCTCCCCCTCCGTCCTCCTCCTTCCCTTCCCCATTCTCCTCCCCCTCCCCCTCCTCCTCCCCCTCCTCCTCCTCCCCCTCCTCCCCCTCCTCTCCATCCTCTCCCTACCCCCTCCTCCTCCCCTCCTCCCCTCCCCCTCCTCTTCTCCCCCTCCCCTTCTCCCCCTCCCCCTTCTCCCCCTCCCCCTTCTCCCCCTCCTCCTCCTCCTCTTCCTCCTTCCCCTCCCCCCTTCCTCCTCCCACTCCTACTCCCCCTTCTCCTCCCCCACCTTTCTCCGTGCCCCTGCCTTTGCTCTCCTCTGGTGACTAAAGGGCTCTTCATTTCAGGGTTGCCCCTCCTACCCCAGGGTGCTTGGCCGTAAACAGCATCTGTCCCACATTAGATGCTCAAGTCTTAGGATTGTGGTTTAACCCGGTAGTGAAAATTGATTGAAACCAGTAAATGCTTCTCTTTGGGGTTGGGGTTTTAGTTTCAAATGCCCCCGGGGGGTTACTTTTTACGGCCCCGTGTCCTGTAGCACCGTCATTTAAATGGAACAGCACAGCGTGCACCGCCGCCCCCCACCCCTCCACCAAGCAGGGCCCTTCCCAGCTCTCCACCTGCTGGGCTGAAGTCAGCCTTCCCAGCCGGGCCTTGATCAGAAGCGTGCACCAACACCCCGGGAGCTGCCCGGTCAGGGGAGGAGGGCAGGGAAATGGGGCCAGGGCGCGCTGGCCCCACAGAGTCTGGATGCGACCTCTGGGTGGTGCCCTGGCCAGTCCCTGCAGCCGCCTGCCCCAGCCCCGTCTGAGATGCCGCTGTGCTGCGGTTGGCCGGTTTTTTTTTGCTTGCAGACATAGACGAGTGCGCAGACTCGGAGGCCTGCGGGGAGGCGCGCTGCAAGAACCTGCCCGGCTCCTACTCCTGCCTCTGTGACGAGGGCTTTGCGTACAGCTCCCAGGAGAAGGCTTGCCGAGGTACCCACGCCACGCGGTCACCCTCGCTTTCTCTGACGCCCAAGTCTAGACACGGGTGCCAGTCACTGCCCGAGCCGGTTGCTAACAACCGGGTGCTTCTGGTGAAAGAAAGTCTCTTTCTCCCTGTTTCTATCAGCCTGGTAATGGCCTGTGCTACCACCATGCCCGCACACACGTGAGCACACACAGGCACCCATGCCCCTTGTGCACATGAACGAACCGCACACATGCATATACACCGCATGTACACACGTGTGTACCCTTCTCCACCTGCATAGACGGGGCCTCTCCCCAAAGGGACGGGGAGCAGCAAGCCTCCCTCTACTGTTCTCTCTTTCCAGCCGCCATGGGGAGGGCCCTGTTGGCCGTAGAGCCTCTAAGAGGGGCCGTGCCCCCAGTGATGGGAACAGTGGGGCTGAGTAGGCAGACAGAGAGGGTGGGGAAGCCCAGGCTGCCTGCACTGACCTCCATTTCCCACCACAGCTGTCGGCCCCTCTGTGCTCCGGGGGACACCTCACTGCACAGCCCAGACCCTGTGCTTCCCAGACCTGCCTTCCACACCGGCCCGGCAGCGGGGGTGGGTCTGGCTCGTTGGGAGCACCCTCCTGGGACACCTGCGACATTTTTATTCCCTCAAGAAAGAGCCCGGGCAGGAGCAGGCCGAGGGTGCAACCTAGCTTTCCAGTGGGGGGGGACGCGACCCCCAAGCCGCCCCCGTTAGAATCTGCATGTAATTCCTTGAGCGCACCTTGCGTGTGGTTTGAGCAATCGCGGTGTGATCCCACGGCGGGACAGCGTAGAGGCCTCCCCGGCTCACCGCCGCTTCCCTCTGGCTGGCAGATGTGGACGAGTGTCTGCAGGGCCGCTGTGAGCAGGTCTGCGTGAACTCCCCAGGGAGCTACACCTGCCACTGTGACGGGCGTGGGGGCCTCAAGCTGTCCCAGGACATGGACACCTGTGAGGTAGGCGGCCCCTGGCCCCGCGGGCCCTTCACGGTGGTTCCGGGGGCCCTCGCCGGTGGGGGCTTTCGGGAGAAACACTTCCGTGAAGACCTGGCCTTTGCTAAGGTGTTGGGGATCTCCAGGGCCATGTGGAGGTTTGGGATGAGAAACGCTTCTGTTCCCTGGAAGATGTTTGGTTGTATTTATAGAGTCTCTATGGCAACTCCCAGCTCACAGTGGATCAGCCTGGTGTGGACCCCAGTGTGACACTCACGGGGGCACGGTCCCCACTCTGCCGCGTGCCAGGGAGCCAACGTGACCGACCTGTCACACCGGTGCCTGTCACACCGACCTGTCACACCGGGGCCTGTCACACCGGTGCCTGTCACAGCATGACCTACCTGTCACACCGGGGCCTGTCACACTGGTGCCTGTCACACCGACCTGTCACACCGGGGCCTATCACAGCATGACCTACCTGTCACACTGGTGCCTGTCACACCGACCTGTCACACCGGGGCCTATCACAGCATGACCTACCTGTCACACCGGGGCCTGTCACACTGGTGTCTGTCACACCGACCTGTCACACCGGGGCCTGTCACAGCATGACCTACCTGTCACACCGGGGCCTGTCACACTGGTGCCTGTCACACCGACCTGTCACACCACTGCCTGTCACACTGACTTGTCACACCAGTGTCTCACACCGACCTGTCACAACAGTACCTGTCACACTGACCTGTCACACCGGTGCCTGTCACACCACTGCCTGTCACACTGACTTGTCACACCAGTGTCTCACACCGACCTGTCACAACAGTACCTGTCACACCGACCTGTCACACCGGTGCCTGTCACACCACTGCCTGTCACACTGACTTGTCACCGGTGTCTGTCACACCGACCTGTCACACTGGTGCCTGTCACACTGGTGCCTGTCACACCGACCTGTCACACCGGTGCCTGTCACACCGACCTGTCACACTGACCTGTCACACCGGTAGGAATGCAGTACCCACATGTGGACGTTTCTGGGCAGGGCGGCTCTTGTCTTTCCTCTTCAGCCTGGGCCTGTGCCTGGGGGTTGATGAGAGTGAGCATTTATTTAAAAAGCAAAACCACAGGTGGAAAGAGTCACCAGGACAGCTTCTCGGAGTCGCAGACCTGGGATGCAGCCGTGGGGCTCTTGGGTCTGGGCTGCGACGTTCAGGGCTTCCAGCCAGCCCTCGCCTTGAGGTTCTTTGCCTCGCTGCCTCATGTACTCATGCAGAGGGTGTCGGACCCCTGCGAGATGTCCAGCTCACCCTGGCTGCCCACGGTGGGCAGGGCAGGCCTGGCTCAGCCCCAGCCCCTCCATCTTCCAGGGGTGTCAGCTCACACCGGCTTTGGTTCTGTCCCCCTTCGGGCAGCGTGGAGAAACCACAGCCCAGAACAGGGAACTTTCCAGGACAGCCATCTTCAAGGCATCCATATCTATTTCATAATAGTGTATACTTTTTAATGATTCTCTGTAATTTTTGTATGCTTGAAATATTTCATAATTTAAAAATAAAGGGTCAAGGGAAATGAGCAGGGAAGGAGATGACGGGGACCCCCGAGAAGCCCTGTGGGAAGCGGCTGCTGCAAGCCCGCCCTTCACCTGGGAGTCCCAGTGGGGCAGGTGTGACAGCCTCTGGGGTCTCAGCAGCTAGAGGCGGGGTGGCCACTCCCGAGGCACAGGAGGGACAGTGGACCCGCTGCGCGGCCGGGGCGTGGGGCTCAGGGGAGCAGGAGTGAAGGCCACATCCCCGACCGGCGTGGCCCCCGTCCGTGGCAGGACATCTTGCCGTGCGTGCCCTTCAGCGTGGCCAAGAGTGTGAAGTCCTTGTACCTGGGCCGGATGTTCAGTGGGACCCCCGTGATCCGACTGCGCTTCAAGAGGCTGCAGCCCACCAGGTGAGGAGGTGTCCACAGGAGGCAACACAACTTAGAATGGCCAAGACACTGGCTTCACAGGGCCCGGGCCAGGGTTCGGCCAGCAGGGAGGGGCCGGGCATCTGCCTGTGCCCAGTGCTGACTCATTTCTCCTGTGGGTGCCCAGGCTGGTAGCTGAGTTTGACTTCCGGACCTTTGACCCCGAGGGCATCCTCCTCTTTGCCGGAGGCCACCAGGACAGCACCTGGATCGTGCTGGCCCTGAGAGCCGGCCGGCTGGAGCTGCAGCTGCGCTACAACGGTGTCGGCCGTGTCACCAGCAGCGGCCCGGTCATCAACCATGGCATGTGGCAGACAGTGAGTGTGCGGCAGCCACCCCTTCCAGGCCTCACGGGGTTCTCCCTGAGCCAGACTCAGCTGTCACTCGCTTATGCAACCGTTAGGAGATGAGCTCTGGGGCCTGCATCTGCTGCGTGCCGGCAGGACGGGGACCCCTGCCCCGTTTAGTTCATGCTCCGGGAGACGGGGACCCCTGCCCCGTTTAGTTCATGCTCCGGGGGACGGGGACCCCTGCCCCGTTTAGTTCATGCTCCGGGGGACGGGGACCCCTGCCCCGTTTAGTTCATGCTCCGGGGGACGGGGACCCCTGCCCCGTTTAGTTCATGCTCCGGGGGACGGGGACCCCTGCCCCGTTTAGTTCATGCTCCGGGGGACGGGGACCCCTGCCCCGTTTAGTTCATGCTCCGGGGGACGGGGACCCCTGCCCCGTTTAGTTCATGCTCCGGGGGACGGGGACCCCTGCCCCGTTTAGTTCATGCTCCGGGGGACGGGGACCCCTGCCCCGTTTAGTTCATGCTCCGGGGGACGGGGACCCCTGCCCCGTTTAGTTCATGCTCCGGGGGACGGGGACCCCTGCCCCGTTTAGTTCATGCTCTGGGGGCTCACTGTGGTGCTCTAGGCCTCTCTGCTATTTCATCACGTTTCAGCCTGGCTCCCTCAGAAAGGGGCCTTGAGTGCAACCTGTCAGTTTGGTCTCCCTGAGTTTGGTCACCCTGGCTCAGGTAGAACCCGTGGTTCTCAGCCCCAGGGGACCCTGGGCTGTGTCTGGAGGCCATGCTGTTTATCCCGAGCAGAGTGGGGAACAGAAGCCAGGGCTGCTTGACGCTACACGCAGGGTGCCCCACCAGGGGAGGAGGCCGCCACTGAACCCGCACCACAGCCCAGAGCTCCCGCCGTACGTGTCTCCCGGGCCGTGGCCAGGCCAGGCGCCGCCCGCCCACCCTTCCCTGTAGGACGGCGTGGACGCTGCGGTCCCTGAGCCCTGGCTCCCAGGGCCTGCTGGTCAGTGCGGCCATGCATGCCAAGGGTCCAGGTGACCTCACGGGAGCTGCCCCTTGCCAGAGACGTCCTGACCACCTGGACCCCAGCCCCATGGGCAACCTGAGGGGTCCTGGTCAGACCTGCACTTGGGCAGCTGTGGGCAGCGGTAAAACGTGCCCACCCCACATCCCCATCCGTGGAGCGAGAGGGCCTGTAAGCAACCAGGCTCCCGCCCACAGCGCTGGGCCTCCCTCACCATACTGGGCTTGCAGAAGGAAACGTTGGGAAGAAAGGTGGAAAGCACGTCTTGCCCTTCAGAAACATTGTAGACTTGTATTTCCATCCTGCAAAGCAATGCCTCGCTCCATTTTTCCCAACCTCTTAAAGGAGCAGTATCTCCAAGAGCAGGAGGCTGTTCTCAGCAAAGCTACAGAAAGCAAAGGAAGCAGAAGCAGTTTCAGGGATGGAGCCCCGGGGAGGAGGGCCCCAGGGCAGGTGGCCTGAGGCGAGGTCGCCTGGGGGAGCGGTGTTGCAGGGGATGGAGCCATGGGGAGGAGGGGCCCGGGGCAGGTGGCCTGAGGCGAGGTCGCCTGGAGGGAGTGGTGTTGCAGGGGATGGAGCCATGGGGAGGAGGGGCCCGGGGCAGGTGGCCTGAGGCGAGGTCGCCTGGGGGAGCGGTGTTGCAGGGGATGGAGCCATGGGGAGGAGGGGCCCGGGGCAGGTGGCCTGAGGCGAGGTCACCTGGGGGAGCGGTGTTGCAGGGGATGGAGCCACGGGGAGGAGGGGCCCGGGGCAGGTGGCCTGAGGCGAGGTCACCTGGGGGAGTGGTGTTGCAGGGGATGGAGCCACGGGGAGGAGGGGCCCGGGGCAGGTGGCCTGAGGCGAGGTCGCCTGGGGGAGCGGTGTTGCAGGGGATGGAGCCACGGGGAGGAGGGGCCCAGGGCAGGTGGCCTGAGGCGAGGTCACCTGGGGGAGCGGTGTTGCAGTGTAGTCCCGCCCAGTGACTCACAGCGGCCGCAGCACCCCACCAAGACAGGCCCTTCCCCAGCAGGGGTACCTCATGAGGACCCCTCCCCAATTCCACCCTCTCTAGCTGCTGCCCAAACCCAGCTGACCCGAATTTGTACCATGTTTTTGTGACTCAGTTCAAACCCAAATACCTGAAAGGTGTTTTCACACAGGAAGAAGGATATTCTTCTGAAGCTCAGGAATATAGTGTATCTAGCATTAGACTTTACAGGTTTTCTATGAGGAAAGGTTTTGGTGACCACATTGATGCATCGAGGGCCCTCCTGGCCCAGATGATGAGCAGGGACTCTCTGAGGTTGGGACCCTCTTGGCTCAGGTGTGGATCAGGTGGTCTCCTTGAGGTCAGGTCCCTCTTGGCTCAGGTGAGGATCAGGTGGTCTCCCTGAGATTGGGACCTTCTTGGCTCAGGTGTGGATCAGGGGGTCTCCCTGAGATTGGGACCCTCTTGGCTCAGGTGAGGATCAGGTGGTCTCCCCGAGGTCAGGTCCCTCTTGGCCCAGGTGAGGATCAGGTGGCCTCCCTGAGATTGGGACCCTCTTGGCCCAGGTGAGGATCAGGTGGACTCCCTGAGGTCAGGTCCCTCTTGGCCCAGGTGAGGATCAGGTGGACTCCCTGAGGTCAGGTCCCTCTTGGCCCAGGTGAGGATCAGATGGTCTCCTTGAGATCAGGTCCCTCATGGCTCAGGTGAGGATCAGGTGGTCTCTCTGAGGTTGGGACCCTCTTGGCTCAGGTGTGGATCAGGTGGTCTCTCTGAAGTTGGGACCCTCTTGGCCCAGGTGAGGATCAGGTGGTCTCCCCGGGTCAGGTCCCTCTTGGCCCAGGTGAGGATCATGTGGTCTCCCTGAGATTGAGACCCTCTTGGCCCAGGTGAGGATCAGGTGGTGTCCCTGAGATTGGGACCTTCTTGGCTCAGGTGTGGATCAGGTGGTCTCCCTGAGGTCAGGTCCCTCTTGGCCAGGTGAGGATCAGGTGGTCTCCCTGAGATTGGGACCCTCTTCGCCCAGGTGAGGATCAGGTGGCCTCCCTGAGATTGGGACCCTCTTGGCCCAGGTGAGGATCATGTGGTCTGCCTGAGATTGAGACCCTCTTGGCCCAGGTGAGGATCAGGTGGTCTCCCTGAGATCGGGACCCTCTTGGCTCAGGGGAGGATCAGGTGGTCTCCCTGAGGTCGGGACCCTCTTGGCCCAGGTGAGGATCAGGTGGCCTCCCTGAGATCGGGACCCTCTTGGCCCAGGTGAGGATCATGTGGTCTGCCTGAGATTGAGACCCTCTTGGCCCAGGTGAGGATCAGGTGGTCTCCCTGAGATCGGGACCCTCTTGGCTCAGGGGAGGATCAGGTGGTCTCCCTGAGGTCGGGACCCTCTTGGCTCAGGGGAGGATCAGGTGGTCTCCCTGAGATCGGGACCCTCTTGGCTCAGGGGAGGATCAGGTGGTCTCCCTGAGGTTGGGACCCTCTTGGCCCAGGTGAGGATCAGGTGGCCTCCCCGAGGTCGGGACCCTCTTGGCTCAGGAGAGGATGAGTGTGGTTTTTCTCAGTTGGGAGCCCCTTCAGAACGTGCACTCCCATCTTTTCTCATGGCGCTGCCTCTCTTCAGATCTCTGTTGAGGAGCTGGCGCGGAATCTGGTCATCAAGGTCAACAGGGATGCTGTCATGAAAATCGCGGTGGCCGGGGACTTGTTCCAACCGGAGCGAGGACTGTATCATCTGAACCTGACCGTGGGAGGTATTCCCTTCCATGAGAAGGACCTCGTGCAGCCTGTGAGTACTGTACCTGTCCCTGTGTAGACGCGCCGTGTGCTGGGATCCCGGGAACGGTGTCAGGAAGCCTCAGTCACACCCTGCCCTGTGTTTACCATTAACCAGGTGTGAGGAGGACCTAGAGGAAGGAAAGGTTTCCTAGAGTTTGACAAAGTCGCCGTACAGCTATGTCATTAATTTTACCATCTCTTTTTATGAGACCTAAGTTTTCATCTGAATTGATAATAAAGTTGTCTATTTTTCAATGGAGATAAGACACAATTAAATTATTATTATTTTTTTTGAGACGGAGTCTTGCTCTGTTGCCCAGGCTGGAGTGCAGTGGCGCGATCTCGGCTCACTGCAAGCTCCGCCTCCCGGGTTCACGCCATTCTCCTGCCTCAGCCTCCCAGGCAGCTGGGACTACAGGCGCCCGCCACCACGTCCGGCTAATTTTTTTGTATTTTTAGTAGAGACGGGGTTTCGCCGTGGTCTCGATCTTCTGACCTCGTGAACTGCCCACCTCGGCCTCCCAAAGTGCTGGGATTACAGGCGTGAGCCACCGCGCCCGGCCGAAATTATTCTTTAACAGAACAGTAAACTTTTTTGGACAATTTCCAAGAACATTTTGGGTTTTGTAACTCTGCCGTGAGTCTCATAAGGGGAAAACAGCCATGATGGGCGGTCAGTGTGGGCCATTGCTCCAGGTCCCGCCTTCTCTCCCCTTCAGCACAGCACACGCCCGTGCCCCCGACCTGTGTCTCCAGCCCCCACGTGCTGACGTCTAAGCCGTCATCCTGGGTATTTTCACTTCCACACCAGGCAGGAGAAAGGCACGCATGTCTTCGCGTCTTTGGGTGCTGAGTGTCGGCAGTGCCTGTGCTGAAGCCACCCCTTCAGTGTTGTGAGGGGCACCTGCTCCCCAGGCCCACAGACTGCCTGGTGCCGGGACCTTCGGTGTTGTGAGGGGCACCTGCTTCCCAGGCCCACAGACAGCCTGGTGCCGGGACTTTGCCTGGCTGGACCCTCCTCGTTTCACAGATAAGGGGGTTGCCCTGATTTGCCCACAGCCATATTGAATATTGAATAATTCACATGAGTGTTGGATGGTTGAACAATCCATACTCTTTGACCTTAGACCCACATGGCCTTTTCAGTCCTTTCCTAGCTTTAAAATGAACCTTTAGTTCTTGAGCATACACCAGTGGAAATAGGTATTCTGCAGTGAGGCGTTGTGTAAAGTGAAGAAACCTTCTGTGAAATGGCCACCACCGATGGGACTGGCCCGTTTCTGCCGTAGAGCTGCACATACCAGGGCCGCGAAGGCGCCACCCACCGACTGGGGCATCCGGCATGGGGCTTCTCGCTCCCAGGAAGCCACGGAGATTTCTCTGCCTTTCCAGATAAACCCTCGTCTGGATGGCTGCATGAGGAGCTGGAACTGGCTGAACGGAGAAGACACCACCATCCAGGAAACGGTGAAAGTGAACACGAGGATGCAGTGCTTCTCGGTGACGGAGAGAGGCTCTTTCTACCCCGGGAGCGGCTTCGCCTTCTACAGCCTGGACTACAGTAAGTCTTGGCTCTTACCGTTGGGGTGGCTGTGGCTGCACCTTCAGACAGGCATACGCTGAAAGCAAGCAGACGGCCTCAGATGGCAGCGTCAGGACAAGCTGAGGCTCCTCCGGTTCCGGGGCAGGGATGGGTGGGCGGGGTGGGCGGAGGTGCGGGCAGAGGCCCACCTCTCAGGATGGCCATGCAGGTCACTCAGTTCAGAGTCAGCCAGTGAAGAAGAAATGAGAGAGATGTGCCGAGAAGGTGCCTGCGAAGCCAGTGCCAGGAGGCCGGGGAGAGAAGGTGCCTGCGAGGCCGGCGCCAGGAGGCGGGGGAGAGAAGGTGCCTGCGAGGCCGGCGCCAGGAGGCCGGGGAGAGAAGGTGCCTGCGAGGCCGGCGCCGGGAGGCCGGGGAGAGAAGGTGCCTGCGAGGCCAGCGCCGGGAGGCCGGGGAGAGAAGGTGCCTGCGAGGCCGGCGCCGGGAGGCCGGGGAGAGAAGGTGCCTGCGAGGCCGGCGCCGGGAGGCCGGGGAGAGAAGGTGCCTGCGAGGCCGGCGCCGGGAGGCTGGGGAGAGAAGGTGCCTGCGAGGCCAGCGCCGGGAGGCCGGGGAGAGAAGGTGCCTGCGAGGCCGGGGAGGCTGGGAGCCTTACAGGGTCCTTTGCAGAAAGTCCGGAGACAGCACAGCCTTAGGACTCGTCCAGGGGCACAGAGAAGCTCTCGGTAACATGGTGGACACCGTGGTCACCGATGACCCGGTGAGACAGCTACAATGGGAGGTGTGTAAAAACAGCCGTGAAGCTGCCTGGGGGACAGTGAACCTAGGCCTGAAAAAGGGAGGACAGGGTGGATGTGAGCTGCTGGCCCAGTCCTGTGACGCCACGCTGCCGCCCTCCCCAGTGCAGGCTCCGGGGGTGCTGCTGTGAGGATAGTGTTACTGCTCGGCCCCACCCTGCCTCACATTCCCACCCCACGTGGGCCCCACTGGGGCACCACAGCCCTGCCCTATTCCTGGACACCGAGCCGTTTATGGTGAAGCCCCCACACGCACAGAGGGCAGGCAGCGCCCCCTCCGTCAGATCTCAGGGCTGCCGGCCCTCAAGCACCCAGCAGGAACCCCAGGTTCAAGGGGATCCACGCGGAGCAAAGGGGAGGGTCCTGCCCCGTCCTGAGCCAGATCCAGTGTCACCGTCTCCCCCCGGGTGTCAAAAGCGTGACCGTGTCAGGAAAGGCATCTGAGAAAAGCGCCATCTGCCACTGGCTGGACTGACTGTGCACACGCGTTCTCCCTCAGTCTTGATTTTTGGACTTCCAAATCTAGAGCATCATAATGTTTGACACGAAATCATGTCATATGAAATGCTTAAATCCTTTTTCCACTTAATATCATACACATTTCTCAGGGGTAACCTTATGCAGGCATCACAGGGGCCATTTCCAGTGACTGCCGGCCGCGTCTGCCGGCCCTTTTTGGTCTATCCGGACAGAAGCAGTTACAGCTCCATGCATTTCCAGTGAATCTCAAACTATACCAGTAACGTCTCTTACAAGACAGAGGAGACTTGCTGGGAATGGTAGTACTGGCCTGGCTCACTCTGCAGCGACTCTGCTGGGCTCAGGCTTGCAGATCTCCGGGTCTGTGCAGCCTCCATGCAAGGGGCCACGTGGAGCCGGGAAACCTTCCCGGGGAGAGCAGAGGCCGGTGCCCTTGTGAAGCCCCGATGGCCAACATGTGCCTAGCCTCCTGTCAGGAGCTTCCTTTTTTTTTTTTTTTTTTTTTTTTGAGACGGAGTTTCGCCTTTGTTGCCCACACTGGAGTACAATGGCACGATCTTGGCTCCACCTCCCAGGTTCATACCACAACCTCCGCCTCCCAGGTTCAAGCGATTCTCCTGCCTCAGCCTCCCGAGTAGATGGGATTACAGGCATGCACCACCACACCCAGCTAATTTTGCATTTTTAGTAGAGATGGGGTTTCTCCATGTTGGTCAGGTTGGTCTCGAACTCCCGACCTTAGGTGATCCACCCACCTCAGCCTCCCAAATTGCTAGGATTACAGGCGTGAGCCACCACGCCCGACTGGGAGCTTCCATTTTAAAGAACACCATCATCTCTCCCTTCACAGGTTATGGGAAGACCGGCAAACAGGAGACTTTTTGTTGTTACTTTTTGATTCTGTTGCAATATTTTTGTTACTTTTTCTGATTTTGTGTGTTTCGGTGCCATAAATGGTTGTTGAGAACTGATGTGGCGGGTACCAGCTAGGGACAGGCAGGACAGGCGATGTGGGTTTCAGGCGTACACAGCCCCGTGGGAAAGAGACAGGGAAACCAGCACAATTCACTCTGACCCCAACCTTGGCCTGCAGTGCGAGGCGCCCAGTCACAAATGTGTACACACAGTGATTTGGGGTCCTTTTTCCTAAAACAGCTTCTTTATCAGGACTTTGGAATTCTGGGTGAGATAGAAACACTGAAAACAGGGCGGAAGTTTTTTCTTCTGGCTTCTTAGTCCACGGAGGGCTCAGCGTGGAGAGGATATGCCGTGGCATTCTCCCTGGGAGACCACACATGTTCCCGACAGCTCAGACCCCAGACCGCATGTGCTCCTGACAGCTCAGACCCCAGACCGCGCGTGCTCCTGACAGCTCAGACCCCAGACCGCAGGTGCTCCCGACAGCTCAGACCCCAGACCGCGGGTGCTCCTGACAGCTCAGACCCCAGACCGCGCGTGCTCCCGACAGCTCAGACCCCAGACCGCGGGTGCTCCTGACAGCTCAGACCCCAGACCGCGCGTGCTCCCGACAGCTCAGACCCCAGACCGCGGGTGCTCCTGACAGCTCAGACCCCAGACCACGCGTGCTCCCGACAGCTCAGACCCCAGACCACGGTGCTCCTGACAGCTCAGAACTCAGACCGCGGGTGCTCCTGACAGCTCAGACCCCAGACCGCGCGTGCTCCTGACAGCTCAGACCCCAGACCACCGTGCTCATGACAGCTCCTGTCCGCATGCTATCTTAAACTCTCAGCCCCCACTGGGCCCTGTGCTGCTACCTGAAAGCTGCAGGTGAGATGCGAGGCACGAGGCCACGCACGCTCTGAGGAAGGAGCTGTCAGGCGCTCCTGAAACAAGAGGACATCGGAGGGAGGCAGGGACAGGCCTGCGTCCCATGGTGCACAGCCTGTGGCCCCTCAGACGGGCCTGTGTGGCCTGGTGGTCACCTACAGGGCATTTGGAAGTGGGGTACTGGTGTGGCCAGGGAGAAACAGCCTGGGGGTCCCCGGTGCCTCTGGGCTCCGGGCCAAGATCTGAACCAGTCTGTTGAGTTTTCCATCACGTCCCAGATCCGGGGCTGTCTGCACAGCTTCCCACCCCGGCTGGGACTGCATCTCTCGAGGCCCTGCTCCGACCTCACTGTGGCCTCTCCACCGTGCATACCACCCTATAATGCACCGCTTTCATTGCAGTGCGGACCCCTCTGGACGTCGGGACTGAATCAACCTGGGAAGTAGAAGTCGTGGCTCACATCCGCCCAGCCGCAGACACAGGCGTGCTGTTTGCGCTCTGGGCCCCCGACCTCCGTGCCGTGCCTCTCTCTGTGGCACTGGTAGACTATCACTCCACGAAGAAACTCAAGAAGCAGGTAGGGCCTCCGCCACCCAGGGCGTCCTGACCGGCTCGACCCACGGGTACGTGGGCTGCACTCCCTGGCAGGGGACGAAGGGGGCCCGCGGTGGGATCCCCAGGGACCCCCAAAGCCTCTGACCAGAGGTCTGATGAGCCAAGCCCGGCGTGGGCCACGCTTCGGGCTGCGGGGGTTGTTTGGACACCAGGTCACCGCCACACAGCTGAGGGGGCCGGCGCCTGCGAGCCACACTCGGCTCACAGTGTGGGAGCTTTTCCCCTGTTCGGTTGGGCAGATGGTGGCTCACAGCAATCTGAATTAGTCTCTGGTGTTTAAGTCAGATGATTTCAGCAACAAACTCAGTTTTCCAATTTCCCTGGAAAAGTCGGATCTGTGACCTTGGCCGGTCCCCCAACAGCGTCTTTCCGTGGGGGACACCGGGTGGAGCTGAGTGCAGCTGCCCCTTGGACAAGGTCCCCCCACCCCCGGTCCTCACAATAAGTCAGCTGTCCTGGGCTGGGGGACTCATGCTGTTTTCCCCACAGAACAATCAAGAGGTGACAGAAACAGCTTTTATTCTCTCGCTCGTGTGCTAAGGAGGGAGACATGGGTCAAACCAGAGAGGCTCACGTTCTCCAAGTCTGCCCACCCCGGGGCCACAGAGCCCTCCCGCTTGCTGGGATACGACAGACAGGCTTGGTTCATGCAAATGCTCGTTACCAGGGCCAGACCCAATCTCAGCATCTGGAATAAACAGCTGCTGTTATGTAGCAACAGCCGACCCCTGGGCTGCTGGGCTGTGGTGCCAGCGTGAGTGCCCACCGGGCTGGGAGGCCGCCACCGCAGGGCTGGGTCCTGGGTCCCCATCAGGGCCACCCCAGTTCCTGGTCAAGTGCAGCCTCGGTCTTGTGTGTGCCTGGTGCCTGGGGCTGGGGTTGACCCTCTCACACCCAACCTGGGGGCCACACTTGTTCCCCCACAGCCTCCCAGGCTGGCCCCTGGCTTTACGTGCAGAGAAGCTGAGCCCCAGGTGGGGTGGGGGTGTCATCCACAGTCAGCGAGCATCCAGACCCAGGGCTGCAGGGAACCCTGGACGGAGACAGGCGTGCGGCGTAGGGGTGGCCAGCAGCTGTGAGGACCAGCTTGGACCTAACAGCTCACGTAGGGGTGGCCGGCAGGCCCTGACCACACCTCGGTCTCCTGCAGCTGGTGGTCCTGGCCGTGGAGCATACGGCCTTGGCCCTAATGGAGATCAAGGTCTGCGACGGCCAAGAGCACGTGGTCACCGTCTCGCTGAGGGACGGTGAGGCCACCCTGGAGGTGGACGGCACCAGGGGCCAGAGCGAGGTGAGCGCCGCGCAGCTGCAGGAGAGGCTGGCCGTGCTCGAGAGGCACCTGCGGAGCCCCGTGCTCACCTTTGCTGGCGGCCTGCCAGGTAGGTGCTCCCTGCTCCGCTCAACCCGGGTGAAGAGCTCCAGGGAGGCCCAGCTTGGTCACCCCAGATCTAACCTGGACAGGCTGGGGTTTCTGGTAGTGAATGCGGAAGAGGACTTGTGTTTTAAGAGGAAGGAGAAGTCCAGGTGGGTCGTTAGTGGCTATTATGGTGTCTCGGTGCTGGTCAGGTCATTGGCTGAGACTGAGAAACACGTACGGGGGCCGGCATTGGCCTGAGTCAGGCCCCACGAACCTGCATCTTCAGGGAGCATTCGTCCACACCCATCAGACCAGCCCCGGGGGAGAGGGCTGGGCAGACCTCGGGCCAGGCTGCAGTTGGGACCCGCGGCTGTCACCGCAGCTGTTAGCAGCGAACAGAGTGACCGCCAGCCCCTCCCATGTCCAGCAGGGCGTCCTGCCGTGTCCCATGGGCTACACAGCACAGAGGCTGGGACCGGGGATGTCCTTGCCATGAGCTGGGAGGGTCAGCGGAAAGGCACGTGGGAGCCGGCAAGTCCTCGGCTGCCCGCAGGTTTTCACTTGCGGCAAACGGCAGGATTTCTCTCTTGGCTGCCAGACACAGACTCCACTTAGTTTTAATAAACAGAGCTTTGAAGAGGATGAGAGCGAGCCAGGAGGCCTGCAGCCTGAATGACTCACTGGGCACAGAAGAAGATCACGTTTAACCGATGGGACTGTCTGTGCTCCCAGCGGGGAAGGGAGGGCTGGCGTCTGCAGAGCCCAGGCTGGCAGATGCCTCCTGCTTGTCTGCCGGGTCTGCGGCCAAACGAACGGGGACCGAGAAGTTAGAGAAGAAAGGGAAACCCTGCCCTTTCGGAGGGAACCCGGGGCTGGCCACAAGCGCTGCCGGGGGTGGGGGGGCCAGGCGGGGCCGGCCACGTGGTGAGCTAAGATATGTTGTTCTCTCCCTGCGGCCCAGATGTGCCGGTGACTTCAGCGCCAGTCACCGCGTTCTACCGCGGCTGCATGACACTGGAGGTCAACCGGAGGCTGCTGGACCTGGACGAGGCGGCGTACAAGCACAGCGACATCACGGCCCACTCCTGCCCCCCCGTGGAGCCCGCCGCAGCCTAGGCCCCCACGGGACGCGGCAGGCTTCTCAGTCTCTGTCCGAGACAGCCGGGAGGAGCCTGGGGGCTCCTCACCACGTGGGGCCATGCTGAGAGCTGGGCTTTCCTCTGTGACCATCCCGGCCTGTAACATATCTGTAAATAGTGAGATGGACTTGGGGCCTCTGACGCCGCGCACTCAGCCGTGGGCCCGGGCGCGGGGAGGCCGGCGCAGCGCAGAGCGGGCTCGAAGAAAATAATTCTCTATTATTTTTATTACCAAGCGCTTCTTTCTGACTCTAAAATATGGAAAATAAAATATTTACAGAAAGCTTTGTAACACCGCGTGGCCGTCATCTGCTCCCCGCGGGGTTCTGCACACGTAGCAGCGTTTGGGATGAGCGGGGCTGCCAGGGCTCCAGGCCGCACCCTCAGCCGCTCCAAAGATCCCTCCCTCTTTTCTGCTCCCAGCCTGGTTGGGCAGCCACGGTCTGCTCCCCAGGAGCCTCTGACTCCTCTGGTAGTGGCGGCAGGGGCTGGAGCCTCAGTTTACTTGTTCTGTAAATGCGGAGAACGCCCTGCTCGGCCCCCACCACAGGCAGCCAGTCATTGCTGAGTGAGGAGGGCTTGGCACACAAATGCAGGCTGCTGGGGCAGCGGCCTCTGAGCCAACCTGGGAGGGACCCCGAGCTGGGACCGAGGGCCGGAAGACACCGAGGCAGCGCCTGCACCCCTGTGCCATTCCCGTCCCCACCCTCCTGCACAGATCCACTTGCTTCCGGGCCTCAAGTGTGTTCTGTTGAGAAAGGGAAACTGCTTTCTCTGTGTCGGTCTGGGGTAGAGCTTGCCAGGAGCAAAGCCAGCCCTGCTTCCCGCGTCCCCACTGGCAGGGTCCCCATGTCCCTCAGCCTCAGCTTCCTTGTCTGCAAGGGGTGGAGCGGTCACTGGTGCTCTCTGACCCCAGCAGGCCACAAGTCTGCAGGGAAGGTCAGGGCAGCCGGAACGCGGCCAGGCAGGTGCCTGAAATGCAGTCGGGACCCTGCCTGCCTCCTGGAAGGATGTCGGAGCCGCAGCTGGTGGGGGCCACGGAGTCACTGCTTCTCCTTGGTCCCAAGGGGACGACCAAGACTCATGGCTTGACGCTCCCGTGGGACGCGGCCACCTGTGCTCGAGCCTCTGGGCCAAACATGGGTCCCCAGGGTGGATGCGGTCACTGCAGGGGCCACACGGGGGATCAGGGAGGGTTTCAGCTCTGAGGCCCAAACCAGGATTCCACTTTAAGACCAAACCCCCACCCGTGCTCGGAGCTCCCTGGGCAGGAGTGAGACGGGGCAGCTCGGAGCAGCCCCACCTCCCACCAGTCAGTCCCAGAGCTGCGCCCACCGGGCAGGACAGGCTGTGCGTCGGGGCATCTTTGCCTCTGCCTGGCTGGGGTCAGCACTTGACCTAGAGAAAAGTCGGGTGGAGAAGAAGGATAGAATCCATGAGAACCCATCCAGGGATAAATCGCCACAAATGAACTGCAAAGAGGTTTCTAGAAAGAGGCCTGTGGCTTTGAAGGCCACAGGGGAGGCCCCGCTGGCTGGACTGACAAGGTGGCATCGGCCGAGTGGGCTCCTGAGGGGCAGCCTCGGGCCGGGAAGGAGCGGCTTCCCTCTGGCCCCCGGCCTGACGGCTGTGGAATGGGCAGAGCTTCTCCAAGGCTCGGGAGCCAGCAACACTCATGCCCACCTGGAGGGACCCTGCCCGCCTGGGCCGAGCTCACCCCACGGATGGACGGCCAGCCAGGCACCTTGCCAGGGGCCATGCACAGGGGGCCCCATCCCCTGCCGTCCAGAGCCGCCCAGCTCGTCTACGCTGGAGCCTCCAGGCCCTGGTGGTCCCTGAGGGTCCCTGGCAGGCCCACCCTGTGTCTCTGGGGCTCTTGTTGACCGGTGCCAGTTATGGGCTCCTCGGGCCACATCCCATGACCCTGCGCCATCGTGGGCATGATGCCACTTGCTCTGGACACGCCGGGCAAGGGCCTCTTGTTCTCCCCAAAATCTTGGCAGCACCTGGGCAGAAGTTCTGTTGATTGAGGGCTGCAGCCTGAATTCAGGACTTCAACCTAGTCTAAGAGGTATTGCAGGCAACTTTCGCTTCGGTACCGTGAGAAAATAGTGACGGGGGAGGCCCTGGCCTCAGAGGGCAGACGTCAGGCTCCTGCCGGCTCCCTTCGGAAACGTCCATCTGCCGCCAGCGGCCCCGCGTGTGTGTGACGGCTCTCGCCAGCCTCGCCCAGCAGCACGTGGACCTTCCGCAGGCAGATGCGCTTTCTCCACTCGGGCCGGGACAGATGGCCACCGGCTGCTCACACGGTCGGGGACCCGCAGCCCAGGCCTCCACGCTGGCTCCGGGATGTCCAGGTGCTGGTTGGGCTGAGGATGGTCGGGCCCAGGGCTCGGATCTGGCCATCAGCACAGAAGCCCAGTTCTGGGAGGCCCAGGCGTGGATGCTGACGGCTCGCTAAGCAGGCCAACTCGTCTGACCCCGACGATGCCAGAGCCAGCTGAGCAGAGCTCCAAGAAGCCCGTGGAACACAGCCCCCTGGGCCCCAGGAGAGCCCTGCACTGCCCACTGCACGGCCTCACACGGCCACAGGGGCCACAGCCGCACGCTGGGATCCCAGGCTCCAGCCCGGCACCGCGGCGTCCCTCAGATCCCGGCCTCCAGCCCGGCACCGCGGTGTCCGTCAGATCCCAGCCCGGCACCGCAGCGTCCCTCAGATCCCGGCCTCCAGCCCGGCACCGCGGCGTCCCTCAGATCCCGGCCTCCAGCCCGGCACTGCGGCGTCCGTCAGATCACATTGGTGGGTGCCCCCCAGTGCTCTCCCATAATGTTCCCCAGCCGGCTGGGAGCCTGCTCCTGCCCAACCTCCATCCTCCCCAAGTCAAGACGGCCAGGAGCAAAAACAGGCAACGGCCAGTCTCAGGGACAGAGACGTGGGGAGGCCCCCACAGACACAGGCTACAGTCACCAGTGTCCTCAGGACACAACCCTCCGCCTGGGTTTCTGCTCTGCCTCCAGACGAATCAGGAACTTCTGTTTCCTAGTATTGTTTTCTTAGAGTTCCGGGGGTGCCAGAAGTTATAATAACCACTGTCCCAAACAAGCAAAACCAATGGTGCTAGGAATTGCAACACAGAGGCCCAGCCAGGCCTGTCACGTTGGCGACCTGGCACCCTCCACAACCAGGCATGTCTGGGGTGTGCAAGAGGATGGGAAGACAGAGCACGTGGTGCAAGTGCTGGTGCCCTGGGGAGGCAGGAGGGATGTGCCCCTTAGAGGGAGGAGGGATGTGCGCCCTGGAGGGAGGAGGGATGTGCCCCCTGGAGGGAGGGGTGATGTGCCCCGTGGAGGGAGGGGGGATGTGCCCCCTGGAGGGAGGGGGGATGTGTTCCCTGGAGGGAGGGGGGATGTGTCCCGTGGAGGGAGGGGGGATGTGTCCCGTGGAGGGAGGGGGGATGTGTCCCCTGGAGGGAGGGGGGATGTGTCCCGTGGGGGGAGGGGGGATGTGTCCCGTGGGGGGAGGAGGGATGTGTCCCGTGGAGGGAGGGGGGATGTATCCCGTGGAGGGAGGGGGGATGTGTCCCCTGGAGGGAGGGGGGACAGCCCTGACTCTGGGCTGGAGAGGAGGAAGGAGGTTGGGCATGTGTTTTGCAGGTGGGGTCCTTTGATGTGGCCGCGTCCTGTGCACAGCAGATGCAGCATCGCCCCCTCCTGGACACCCAGCCTCATGACAACACGAAATGTCTCCAGAGGTTGGCCACTGTCCCCTGGGCCCGGGCACCTCTGGGGAAACACTGCTCTAAGCAAGAAGGAACGTTTCGTCCTACTTCACGTAATACGGCAAATATGAACATCAGATTTTTAAATGCCAACGGAAGCATAAAGCAAATGTACAGCCGGGCTAATCCCAGCACAGCCCATTTGTAGGAGAAGCTCCAGCCACAGCCCCTGCCTGCAAAGCAAGAAGGGTCACCTGCCCCAGGGTCAAGGACTCCACGAGGGGAGAGGGGGAGGGTCCGCTCCATGGTGCCCTTGTTTCAAGCACGTTTTCTGCTTACTGAATTCCATCAGTTAAAAGGTCTAGGAAACAGAAAAGGAAGTGGCGCGTGTCGCCGTCTGAGGATCTGCTGACGGGCCCCGGCCTCGTGGAATCCTCTTCTGCCTCTGTGGGTCTCCAGAGTTTCGGAGGCATCTCTGCTCCCACCGCGGGGTCTGGTGGCCACGGGGTCCCCAAGTCTGCAGGAGGAGCTGCTCTGTGTGGCGAGGGTGATGACCATGGCTCTTGTTCACTGAGCAGGGCCGGTGGCCAGCACTGTCCAAGTCACCAGTGCAGCCCCATAAGGCCATCTTCACAACATCCTTGGGGCCCGTTTCTCCCACTCCCGTTTCCATGGAGATGTGATTCACACAGCAATAGCCACGCCTCATGAGTGCAGAGCATGGGTCGGTGGTCAGTCCATCCACGGGGCCGTCCACCCATCACTGCCATCTGGCTCCCGGACACTCCTCTTCCCACAAGAACTCGTGTCCCTGACCAGTGACTGCACCTCTCCCCATCCAGAACACGCTTAGAACACACTTGCCTCCCCGAAAAGAACTCGTATCCCTGACCAGTGACTGCACCTCTCCCCATCCAGAACACGCTGCAAACACGCTTGCCTCCCCGAAAAGAACTCGTGTCCCTGACCAGTAACTGCACCTCTCCCCATCCAGAACACGCTGCAAACACGCTTGCCTCCCCGAAAAGAACCCGTGTCCCTGAGCAGTGACTGCATCTCTCCCCATACAGAACACGCTGCGAACACGCTTGCCTCCCCGAAAAGAACCCGTGTCCCTGAGCAGTGACTGCACCTCCTTTCCCAGTCGGCTTCTGTCTGTGGACACGCCTTCTCTGGACACTGCATATAAACAGAACACAGTCTTCATGTCTGGTGTCCTTCCCTGAGCACTGTGTGTTACAGCCTCAGCACCCGTTAGAGCTTCCTTCCTCTCCGTGGCCGGGTGACCCGCGTGTGGATGGGCCACGTCCTCTCCCTCTCTGTGGCTGGGTGAGACCCGCGTGTGGATGGACCACTGTAGTATTCTGTTTTCACACTGCTAATAAGGACATACCCGAGACTGGGAAAAAAAGAGGTTTAACGGGACTTACAATTGCACATGGTTGGGGAGGCCTCAGAATCACGGTGGGAGGCAAAAGGCACTTCTTACACGGCAGGAGCAAGAGAAAATGAGGAAGAAGCAAAAGCGGAAATCCTGATCAACCAGTCAGATCTCGTGAGACTTACTCACTATCACGAGAATAGCACGGGAAAGACCAGCCACCATGATTCAATTACCTCCCGCTGGGTCCCTCCCACAACGCGCAGGAATTCTGGGAAATACAATTCAAGTTGAGATTTGGGTGGGGACACAGCAAAACCATATCACCCATGTCCCTTCCTCTCTCCGTGGCCGGTGACCCCATGTGGACGGACCGTCACCCATGTCCCTTCCTCTCTCCGTGGCCGGTGACCCCACGTGGACGGACCGTCACCCATGTCCCTTCCTCTCTCCGTGGCCGGTGACCCCACGTGGACGGACCGTCACCCATGTCCCTTCCTCTCTTTGTGGCCGTTGGCCCCATGTGGACGGACTGTGTCCCTCCCCCACTCAGTAGTTGCCTCTGCTTGGGAGCTCTTGTGAGCAGTGCTGCTGTGTGAAATGTAGAAACTGAGGCAGGAGGAGACTCCCTGTAACCCAAGGTCCCAAGCTAATAAGGTGGGGCCAGTCTCAACGGACCCCTGCCCAGGGCAATGCTCTGACCCTGCCCTCCTCAGTCACAACCTGCAGCTACACTAGGCCCCCACCTCTGAGCTGCAGGAGAAGCCTGTCTCCTGTGCTGTCCCAGTGAGGCAGGGAGTGCAGGTGGGGCCACAGCACCCCAAACCCCCCAGCACCCCCTGCCCCGGGGCCACAGCACCCCCAAACCCCCCAGCACCCCCTGCCCCACCATCCCCTCCACCCCATCTCCCGCGGCCTCCAGGGTCTCACTGACCTCGGCTGTGCATGGGAACCAAGTGAGGGCGGGATTGGGAGCCCATCCCTGCAGAGGAGGCTGGGATCAGAAGGCCCCAGCGGAGCCCAGAGAGGGGGTTCATCAGACCGTGACTCAGGCTGGCAGAGCTTGGTGGCCCCAGACAGGATCCGTCCACATGAGACAGGTGCACCTCGAGAGCAGCCGCCGCCCACACTGCAGGCCAGGCATTGGCCGGAGCCCTGCGCCAGGTGGGAGCTGCCCTGGGACCTGGGGGACCCTCCAGCCACCACGAACCTTGAGTCAAATTGTTCACATTCTTTGTGGCTGGGATAAAGGATAAGGACATTTTTGTGGCAAGAACAAAACTGTTGACCTTGGAGTTGAATATTTTTGAACAGCTTTTGACTCTAGACAAGATTAAAAGTCGGGAAAGATCGATGTTGTGTTTGGGGGAAGCTGGTGAGTGCAGCCTCGGGGAAGCACTCTGATGCCCCCACACCGCACCCTGCGACCGAGGGCTGACATGAGGGGAAGGAGGGTTATTCCTGTGACTTTGCTGGCCAGAGCTCCAGGGGGCATAGACTCCCTGCCCAGACCTGCAGTTCAGCTTCTCTGCTGTTCGCACCCCTAGGACACCAAGAGGTGCTGGTGCCTGCACCAGGCAGCTTCGGGGGCACAGCCCGAGCTCCAGGGTGCCCAGGAACCGCCCACACAAGACCACGGCACCATCGGCGCCCATAGAGCCTTCCCTGAGGTAAAGTGAGAGCCCTGGGGACTCGGGAAATCCGTGGCACACTTTTCTTCCCCCACAGGCGCTCGTGAGTGCATCTCCCGGCGCTCCAGAAACCTCTTGGTCTCTGCTGCTTGTTCAGCTTCTTACTCGGAGCCAGGCACCCACAGCCCTGGAGGAACTGGGCGGTGATTTCCAGACAGGACGCCGCACCTCCGGCTCGTGCCCGACCTCCCGGACTGGTTCAAGGCCAGTCAGCCCTGAGAGGCCAAGACCACATTCTCCTGGACAGCAAGCTTGTGAGGCTGGATTTTATAAGATAAAAATGACAAGCAGTGGCGGGTTCACAGACCAGAGCTGGCTGCAGGCCTTTCAGAGGCCCGTTAGGGCCCCTGGGCCCAGCCAGCCACCGTTCATGTGTGGATGTGCGCTGTGGGCCTTCTGCCCAGGAGCGCTGGACACAGGATGAGACCCTCCGTCGGGCAGAGGGAGGCTCCCGGGCAGCGGAGGGGGCAGAGGCTGTGTGAGACCCTCCATCGGACAGAGGGAGGCTCCCGGGCAGCAGAGGGGGCAGGAGGCTGTGTCTGCACGAGTGTGGCTCCCCTCCACCTTATCTTTTTTCTCCCAGATCCAGGACTGGGCAGGGGAGAAAGTCCCCGCTCCACCTCCCAGGTGGGCACTGTTCCGTGAAGTAAGCTGGAGACCTCAGACCCACACGGGAGAAGAGCGGTACTTGTTTATCGTAGGCACGGGGGGCTTTGCAGGGAGGGACGTGAGGCCCTGAGAGCGGTGAGGCCTGGAGGCGCCAGCTTCCGAGGGGAGAGGGAGTGACTGGGGAACCGTGAGCGGCCCACAGAGCAGAGACGGCGACTTGGTGTCTTGTGGCACGTCTGGGGAGCAATGGGATCACCTCTCGCCCGCCCTCCCGCCCTGGGAGTCCCTGGTTCCCTGAGGATCTGACTTCAGGAGTTCAGAGAAAGCCTCTCCCCACATCCAACACTTTTCAAGAGACTTCGGCTACTTTGGGGTGGCGCATCCTGAACTCCTGTCACTGGGGCGCCTGTGACCCACCCGGGACCCGTGACCCACTCGGGACCCGTGACCCACCCGGGACCCGTGACCCACCCGGGGCCCGTGACCCACCCGGGACCCGTGACCCACCCGGGACCCGTGACTCACCCGGGGCCTGTGACTCACCCGGGGCCTGTGACCCACTCGGGACCTGTGACCCACCCGGGATGCCTGTGACCCACCCGGGACCTGTGACCCACTCAGGACCTGTGACCCACCTGAGACCTGTCCTGTGACCCACCCGGGGCCTGTGACCCACCCGGGACCTGCTGCTTCCCAGGCGTGCTCACCCGTCTCCCCAGGTGTGCCCGGCAGGTGCATGCTGGGCCCGCGGGGAGCTAAGCTGGTTTCCACAGGGAGTGCTGCGGCCCCAGACCCTGAGCCAAAGGACCCCGAAACACCGTCCCCCACCATCCCAGCGGCCAGGGGTCCTGAGACAAGGTGCGGTGAGGGAGAAGCCGCGGAAGGACAGCGGAAGCCCAGGCGCCGTAGCTGGGAGACAGCTCAGGGGAAGACCCTCGTGCCAGTGGCCCAGGCAGATTTGCATCCGGGGCTGGGAAAGACAACCGGGCCCCTGGATTCTAACAACTCACAGGCGGTTAGACACAGCGCTGGGCGTTGGAGCCGAAGCGTCCTTCCCTTCCTGGCATACGTCAGGAGCACAGCACGAGGGGCGGGTGGCTTCTGCCCTGCGCTTCTCCAGGACACAGATGCACACACGAACGTGTAACGCACAACACATGTCCACAAACAAGAACACACAGGCAGGGAGGCCGGGGCTGCACTGTCTTTGCAAAATCATAATAATAGCTAATTAATTAAGGGATGTGAAAACACCAGAACAATTGCTCTCAGAGGAGGAGGCCGGGTGGGAACTTTCAGCGCCATTTGATGTGAGCAGAGCCCAAGCCAAGGTGTCACCAGCCTGGGTCTGGAGGGCCCCACTCCCTGCCTGGTTCCAGCCTCCCTCACCAGTGTGCCCAGGGAGGAAAGGAGGGGACAGACTTCTGGAACATTCTCCCGGGTTCTCTAGGAGGTTGGCCACAGAAGCGGGATTTCTAGAGGCTGCCTTTTTTTTAAAAAAAAAAACAAACAAGTTATCTTTTACTCCACGCCTCTATCAGGGTGCGTAGGGGGGTGGCTTCTCCCCCGGGGGAAAGTAGGTGGGTGCGTAGCACGGTGGAGCCTGGCCGGGAAGCCCAGAGCCAGAGCTGCTTGGAGAAGGGGGCTGCAGGTCCTCAGACGAAGCCAGGGCAGAGGAGGGCGCAACTGGGAAGCGGCTGCAGGGCTGCAATAAACAGAGAGGGCCCTGGGTTAGCAGGTGAGACCACCCCGTGCCGGACCACAGGGAAGCCTGACATATACCAGGGCCACTCACACGCTCCCCACCCACCCCGCCAACCCAGGGCCACCCGCAGACTCAGGGCCATTCACATGGGCCCCCCGCAGACCCAGGGCTATTCACACAGGCCCCCTCAGACCTAGGGCCACTCACACAGGGCCCCCCGCAGACCCAGGGCTATTCACACGGGCCCCCCACAGACCCAGGGCTATTCACACGGGCTCCCACAGACCCAGGGCCACTCTCACGCCCCTCCCCTCCCCCGGAGACCCAGGGCCACTCTTACGTCCCCCTCCCCCACCGCAGACCCAGGACCTCTCTCACCGGCCCCCACCCCACAGACCCAGGACCACTCTCACCGGCCCCCCCACAGGCCCAGGCCCACTCTCACGGGCCCCCACAGACCCAGGACCACTGTCACGGGCCCCCACCCCACAGACCCAGGACCTCTCTCACCGGCCCCCCCCACAGATCCAGGACCTCTCTCACTGGCCCCCACCCCACAGACCCAGGACCACTCTCACGGGCCCCCACCCCACAGACCCAGGGCCACCAGAAGGAGCAGCCCCAGCCCGGGGCAGAACAGGAGAGGGTGGCCGGGGCCTCACTGGCACAACCTTGGCCTCCACAGCTGCATGGGGCAGGGGGTGGACGCCCCAGGAAGGGTGTCCTCAGACCACATCCCACTTCCTCACAGCCAGCGAGCCTCTGACCTGACTCCAAAACCAACAGTTAGGGTCCACCAGGCCTGGGGCCCCTGGGCTCACCCAACTCTTCATATTTGGGAAAGGCCCCACGTATGAACCCCACACGTCCACACGTCCAGCAGCGTGTGGCTGGTTCAGTGTCACCGTGGCTGACTCAGCGGCTCACACACGCATCTGGGTGTTGCCGTGGAGGCATCTTCAGGTGTGATTGACACCCTTGCGTACAGTGCCTCAGCCCCTGGACACGGACGGCCCCTCCTCTCCACTGAAGGCGTTAAGGAAAGAGGCTGTGGTCCCCAGGAGAAGTGGACTCTGCCCCAGTGGCCTAGGCACTCCCGGGGCAGCGTCACCCTCCCTGGTCTCCAGCCTGCCCCCTCCCTGTGGTTGTGCACCTGAAGCCCACAGTCATCAGCCAGTCATTCAGAATCGATGGATTGATCTCTCTCTTCATATGTAGGTACCTGTATTCTCCCATAGGCTCTGCTTCCCTAGAGAGCCCTGACTAACACACATAGACCCACCCAAGTAATTCTGAGACCAGAAAAGCGAAGAACGGCACAGATTTTAAATTGATACATTCTAGTTTTTCTCCAACTGCTAACACACATCTTAATTCTTTTCTTTTTTTCCCCTTAAATTCTAGGGGGAACTTCTAATCAAATTTTAAATAAATAAAGCAAACAAACTCCTTCTAAGAAATAACACAGGAAGAGTTTTTCAAACTCCAAGCTACCAGATGTGCTCTGTGCTCCTCTTGCCCCAGCCTGCAGGGTCCCATGAGAAGCCAGCTGCCTGTCTGAGCCTGCGTGTTCAGCATCCCCAGAGAAGCCAGCTGCCTGTCTGAGCCTCTCCCTGGAGAGCTCTGCACTGCAGACGCCCTGGGAGCTAGCAGGACCTCTGGATCCTGACAGCAGAATTTCTGCACAGGTGTAGGTAAGGCTGAGAATGGGGCCCTTCCTCAGAGGGACTGCAATGTTGAGGTTGACAGCCCAGGCTCATGGGATCCAGTGGTTCAGGGACACCTGCCAACCTCATTTCTTTCTTCCCCCGAAACTCACACAGGTTTCTGGCCACAGGCGACAGAGTGAGACACTAGGGAACATTCTCTCAAGTCTGCTGGGAGCTCCCAACTTCCAACTCTGTAGCACCCACTCTTCTTCACAGCAGATGAGCAGTTAAGGAAACTAAGGGGTAAACCCCAGGACCACAGATAAACCCCAGGAACCCATGGAGTAACTCCCTAGGAACCACCGAGTGAACCATGGAGTAAAACTCAGGAACCACGGAGTAAACCCCCAGGAACCACGGAGTAAAACTCAGGAACCACGGAGTAAACCCCCAGGAACCATGGAGTAAACTCTCAGGAACCACGGAGTAAACCCCTCCCCCCAGGAACCACAGAGTAACCCCTCCCCCCAGGAACCACAGAGTTAAACCCCCGGGAACCATGGAGTAAACCCCCAGGAACCACAGAGTAAACCCCCAGGAACCAGAGTTAAACCCCCAGGAACCACAGAGTAAACCCCCAGGAACCACAGCATAAATCCCCAAGAACCATGGAGTAAACATCCAGGAACCACAGAGTAAACTCCCAGGAACCACAGAGTAACCCCTCCCCCCAGGAACCACAGAGTTAAACCCCCGGGAACCATGGAGTAAACCCCCAGGAACCACAGAGTAAACCCCCAGGAACCAGAGTTAAACCCCCAGGAACCACAGAGTAAACCCCCAGGAACCACAGCATAAATCCCCAAGAACCATGGAGTAAACCCCCAGGACCATGGAGTAAACATCCAGGAACCACAGAGTAAACTCCCAGGAACCACAGAGTAACCCCTCCCCCCAGGAACCACAGAGTTAAGCCCCCGGGAACCATGGAGTAAACCCCCAGGAACCACAGAGTAAACCCCCAGGAAACACAGCATAACCTCCCCCCAAAAACCACAGAGTAAACCCCGAGGAACCATGGAGTAAAGCCCCAGGAACCAGAGTAATCTCCCCAGGAACCACAGAGGTAAACCCCCAGAAACCACAGCATAAATCCCCAAGAACCACAGAGTAAACCCCCAGGAACCATGGAGCAAACCCCCAGGAACCACAGCATAAATCCCCAAGAACCAAGGAGTAAACCCCCAGGAACCACGGAGTAAACCCCCAGGAAACATGGAGTAACCCCCCCCCCAGGAACCACAGAGTTACACCGCCAGAAACCACAGAGTTAAACCCCAAAGAACCACGGAGTAAACCCCCAGGAACCACAGAACAAACCCCTAGGAGCCACGAAGTAAACCCCCAGTAACCACAGAGTTAAACCCTCAGGAATCACAGAGTAACCACCCAGGAACCACGGAATAAATACCCCTGGAACCATGGAGTAAACTCCCAGGAACCACGGAGTAAACACCCCAGGAACCATGGAGTAAACCCCCCAGGACCACAAAGTAAACCCCCAGGAACATGGAGTAAACCGCCAGGAACCATGGAATAAACCCCCAGGAACCACAGAGTAAACCCTGGGACCACGGGGTTAACCACTGAATGACAGGGCCCCCCTAGGGACAAGCCCTGCCCACGAGTAATCTCACAGGGGAAGGGAGGGCATGTTTCTTAGTAACGGGGCAGGAACTCATCTTCTGCTGTGATGCCACGTCCTCCCCTGCACTTCATGCCTGGCAAAGCTGCTGGGTGCAAGGAAGGTGATCTCTTTAAATTGTCCTTTTTATTAACTGCTCAAAACCTCCCCCACCAAGTCACTGTTCCCCATCCCCCACTGTCTCAAGTGGGAGTATTTTCTGCTGCTAACGACTTCCATGGAACACCCTGAATATTTTCTCTCCATCTCTGTGGAAGCAGGGCCCCTCCTCCATTGTTCTTCTGAGGAGCACATGAGCCTCATCTGATTTGCCATCTCTGAAATCCAATTATCAGCGTGCGTATATTAAGCTCCCACACATGCTGGCCTGGCACAAAGGCTGGCTGGGCCATCTGAGGGCCCCAGGCCTCCCCAGAGGAAGAGGGGAACATCCACCCTTTGCGTAAACCCAGAGCCCCAGGGTGGATGAGGATGGAGCACCATGGGGATGAAGTGGATCTGCCCCTGTGCCCCCCACGTCCCGTAAGCCCGCGTGTGACGGGGAGGACCACCCCCCACATCCCGTAAGCCCTCCTGTGATAGGGAGGACCGCCCCCCACATCCCGTAAGCCTGCGTGTGACGGGGAGGACTACCCCCCACATCCCATAAGCCCACGTGTGACAGGGAGGACCACCCCCACATCCCGTAAGCCTGCGTGTGACGGGGAGGACCGCCCCCCACATCCCGTAAGCCTGCGTGTGACAGGGAGGACCACCCCCCACATCCCGTAAGCCCACGTGTGACAGGGAGGACCACCCCCACATCCCGTAAGCCTGCGTGTGACGGGGAGGACTACCCCCCACATCCCGTAAGCCTGCGTGTGACAGGGAGGACCACCCTCCACATCCCATAAGCCCGCGTGTGACGGGGAGGACCACCCCCACATCCCGTAAGCCTGCGTGTGACGGGGAGGACCACCCCCCACATCCCGTAAGCCCACGTGTGACAGGGAGGACCACCCCCACATCCCGTAAGCCCTCGTGTGACGGGGAGGACCGCCCCCCACATCCCGTAAGCCTGCGTGTGACAGGGAGGACCACCCTCCACATCCCGTAAGCCTGCGTGTGACGGGAAGGACCACCCCCACATCTTACACCTCCGTGGGGCTCACAGGCAGGGAGGACACACCTGCCTGAGGGAGTCACCAGCCCCTCCCTCCACAAAGCCTCACTGTCTCCAAGGTCCCAAGTCAGAATGCAAACTTGGAGAAGCCGGGCCCCTCACAGCCAGAGCTTCAGACAGCCGGGCCCCAGCACCAGGGCGGCCCAAACCAGCCCTGGAGCCAGAGAAGAGGAAGGGGCTGATGGAACCACGTGTTGTCTCTCCTCTGGGGCCCTGAGGGGCAGCGGCTGAGGTTGAGGATGGAAGACAGCATGGGCCACCGAGGCTATGCTCTGGGCTGCACGTTCTTGGCACCCATGCGATTCCAAGTCTGTGTCTGTGTAGAGCCGCTTGGGGAGCACCTGCAGGCCCAGCGTCCCTGGAGATACCTCTGCCCCTGCGGGCCTCCTCCTTCTACCCCTGCGGGCCTCCAGTTCTGGGCTTGGCAAACTTCCCACGGGAGACCAGGAGGCCAGAGAGAAGCCCCCAGGACAGGGCTGTGGCCCTGGGGGCACGGTCCCTGCCATGATGGGGACGTCCCTGGGGCAGGGGCAGGAGGCTTGGGGAAGGATGAAGCTGCCTGTGGCACCAAGCAGACGCGCCTGCCTGCAGGAGTGACCACTGCAGGGTCGCTGGCAAAAGCTCCCGCCATCTGACCCTGGGGACCACATCTTCCCCCGTCACAGAAATGGAAAAGATGTTTCCAGGCCAGACCTCCAGCAGGGGCCTTGTGTTCCCAGGGAGCAGGGCCCCAGCTTTATATTCGAAGTGAGAGGGGAGACTGAGGTATGAGGTGCAGGGATCCCTCCACGAGGAGATGTTGTCAGGCCCTGGTCATCTCCACTGAGCCCAACAGCTGCTGTGTCCCGGGCATGGCTGAAGGTGGCTGACCCAAGCAGGCCCTGAACGCGAGGGACCCCCAGCAGCCCCACAGGCCCCTGGACCCCAGGGACCCCCAGACGCACCATCTCCATGAGTGCTGGTTCCTGCTCCCTCCTCGGGGTCCCTGGTGCAGGTCCCCAGGTGAGCTGAGAAGGTCGTGGCTCTCGGGCCCCGCTCAAACCTGAGCCCTCTCTGTCCTGGACGTGAGGGCAGAGTGTGCACAGGCCTCCCCCGGATGTCCCTCTAAGGAAGATCTTTTCCTGACAACGTCATGTGTCGGGAGAGGGTCCTCTTGTGGAATATCTGAAGACCTGTGTCA
The DNA here is from genome assembly GCF_000001405.40 of Homo sapiens. NCBI lineage: Eukaryota > Metazoa > Chordata > Mammalia > Primates > Hominidae > Homo > Homo sapiens. The sequence continues at coordinate 113,806,039 of NC_000013.11, read as the reverse complement.
TGTGTGACTTCAAAACTCACGACTCCCCACGTTCACCCTGCCCTTCCCCGCACAGAAACACATCACGGTGCCTGCTTTAATCTGCAGCTTCATCGGGCTGGGCCTGACACAGCTCTCTCTGCAGAGGCTGCTGTTAACTCACGCAAAAGGACCTGCCAGTCAGCCGGGCATGTGGGCAGTGCCTCCCACCCAGAAAGGAAGCCCACGTTTATCAGGACCAGGGTTCTCAACTGTGTCCCCGGGGGCACACGGCACGTCCAGGCAGGAGACACGGGACACGTCCGGAGAGTTTGGGTTGTCACACCGGCGGCTCTGATATGCCGCAGGCAGAGGCCAGGGCCCACCAGCACCCTCAGCACCTAGGGTGCCCCAGCACAGCGGTTGGCCAGCCCTGAATGCCTACAGTGCCGAGGTAAGAAACGTGGCCCGGTCTGTTTCACCCATGGCCACAGCACAGAGCTTCATGGCACAGAAGGCGGTCATGCCCAGGAGTGGAAATCGGACAGGCAGGCAGGGGCCACTGTCCTGCTCGCCCCCCACCATGGCCTCTCCCTCCGTCATCTCCAAGGTCAATAGCATCATGTCAGGATGAACCCTATGATGTCTCCACGTCTGCGGGTAAAATGGGGTTGGATTTTGGCAGATCCATATGGCTCCACCTAAATAACCTGGCCATGCCCACAGGATGTCCACCAGCAGACAAACGCAGGAGCCTCCACCACTGCAGCGGGGAGCTGCCCAGGCCTGTGCGGGGCCAGCCCCGGGGTCAGAAGAGCCAGCTGCCGGCAGAGCATGGTGGCGGGTCACCAGGGCCACCTGGCGCGGTCCCCGGCCATACTTGCAGGGAGGTTGTGCCCTGACGGCAGGGTTGTCACTGCCCCCCACCTCCCATCCCTAATCCAGAAGGTGAGGCGGCTGCAAGACCTCATCCCCTCCGACCCCAGCCCCATCCTGTCCATCCCACTGCCTGTGACCAGCGCGTCCAACTCCAGCAGGTGATGCTGGCCCTACCTGAAGGGGCAGAGGGTAGGACGAGCAGGTCGGGACGGGCTCGGGCGTCAGGCGGAAGCCTGCGTAGGCCAGGATCTGCTGGGCGGGGTTGTAGAGGGTCTGTGGTGGGACGGCTGGGCCATAGGCCAGCTGGGACAGAGGCACCTGCCATGGAGAGGAGACGGGTGGTCGGCGTGTACCCCCTAGTGGAGGGAAGGGCTGTCCAGCCTTCCTAGAAAGCCCAGCACCCTCGACCCCCGACTCTCAGGCTGGAACTAACCCCGGCCCGGCGTGCGTTTATACCCAGGCTGGAGCTAACGCCGGCCCGGCGTGCGTTTATACCCAGGCTGGAGCTAACCCCGGCCCGGCGTGCGTTTATACCCAGGCTGGAGCTAACCCCGGCCCGGCGTGCGTTTATACCCAGGCTGGAGCTAACCCCGGCCCGGCGTGCGTTTATACCCAGGCTGGAGCTAACCCCGGCCCGGCGTAGCTTTACACTGAGGTTCTCTACATCTTGGTCCCAGGGCCCCGCCACCTGCTAGTCACACTGGGTGACCGCTCGGCTCGGGCTCTCTTTTACTTTTTTGATTTTTTGGGGGGGGAGAAAAAAGCACTGGTTTCCTTCTCTCCGGGCCCCAAAGTCTGCTTTTTCGGCACAGAAGGGTGCAGGTGGGGAGGGCCCTCTCAGCACCGGGCTGATGGCTCTCGCTTCCCCAAGCCTGTGCCCCAACCAGCGTGGGGTTTCTGGGGAATGCGAACAAAACCAAAGTCTCCTGAGCTCCCGTCCACACTTTCACTGACTCACTCAGGCAGTTAAAATTCTCCAAAGAAGGTGCTGGCTCCAACTCAGGCCCCGGCCGGCCTCATCCCCTACAGAGGGAGGGGCCCATGGCTCACACAAGCTTCAGGGCTTCCCCGGGCCAGAAACGCGGGGACTGGGCCGAGGGCACCCGGGCTTCGCCTCCCTCCCCACCTTCACACAGGTGCCCCTCCACCTTCCCCAGCCCCCACCCCCAGGTTCAGCAGCACCCTGGAGGAAGCCAGGGGAAGATGGCAAAGGCGGGGAAGCCAGGCCAGAGCCGCTGCGAGGGGCTGGCCACGGTGACGACCCGGGGACACGGTGACAACCCGGGGACACGGTGAAAACCCCGGGACAGGGTGATGACCCCAGGCCTGAGGTGTCCTCAGACAACGGTGCTGCCCGCACCCCTGGGGCTGGGAGGGAGCCCCCTGCCCAGCGGGCACTGGAAGGTGGGAAGGGGCAGGGCCTTCTGGGCAGCTGGTCCTTGGTCCACATGTGCAGGAGGCCGTGCTTCTGCCTCAGACCCTGCAGAGAGCAGGGGGGCAGCCGAGGTGGGCCTGGGAGGTTGGATGGGCATGGAGGGTCGTGCTCCGTGAGGGAGGGGCAGGAGATTTGCAGTTCTGACAGGTAGAGGGGTGGGGAGGCCTCTGAGCTGGCGGTGGCCTGAGGATGGGGCCGGGGCGAGTGCACAGAAAGCAGAGAACACGGGGGCCACGGAGTCACACGCGGAGGAGGCCCCTGAGAGGCTGGCTCAGCCGCCCGCCCTTGCCGGCACGTTAAGTGCCTCCCACGCACCCATCACAAGTAATTTGCCCTCGTCTACGAAGGGCACGTCCAGCTTGGAATGTTAAGGAATGAAGGAAGCATCTTCATTCCTTAACAAAATGTTTAAATGGCAAAATCAGTTAAACTCACAAGAGGGCCTGCTTGGTGGGTGTGAAGGTTAGCAAGTCCTCTCCTTGCTCTGCAGCCCTGAGCTTTGGGTTCGAGGAAGACTTCCTGGAGCCGGTGTGGCTCTGCATTGCGGGCTGGCCCTGGAGGTATCACCTGTTCCTGATCCTGCACTCCAGCATTTTATCACGGGCTTTAATGAACACACGAGCCCCTTCCGGAAAACCCTGGACACCCCGGGCCTGTGTGGCGAGCATGGCGCCTGCACCAGACAAGCGTTTCTGTGTCCTGTCTACAATCCGGCTGCAGTTCCTCCTGGGACGGCCGCTGAGAGGAGACACTGAGCTGCCGAGGCAGAGAAGCTTGCACCGAGGAGACGCCAAAGGCGCCCGGAGCCCGCGAGATCCCGGCAGAGACCCTTCCCGACCCCAGACTCCCGCTCCCACCGCAGGGGCCGGCCGGCTGTCACCACAGAGCAAGGACCCCTGGGAGGTGCCTGTCTTGTGTTGGTGTGCGGGCGTCTGGGGGCCCAGGGTGGGGCTTGGGGGGCCACTGGGTGGGGAGCCAGAGGGCTGGACCTCGGGATGCCAGGGTCACTCTCAGCTTCACCAGTTTTGTCTGGAAGCACAAAAGTGTTGAGAAAAGGAGGAGCTGAGAAGCAGATGGCAGGAGGGTTCCCAGCTGAGCTAATTTTTAGTCATGGACAGCCTCTGGGACGAATAGGGCATGGAGAAGCCGCTCAGGAGTGTTTTCGCTGCCTCGCTGGGCCGGGTCTGGCCTGCATGATGTGCGTCTGCCTGGTGCTGCCAGGCCTCCTCATGTGGGTGCAAGAGGGGGCGCCCCTCGTCCCTGGGCTGCCGTTTGGATACTCTGGGGGTTGGGGCTCCCTCACTCCTGGCTGCCCATCCCTTACAGCTTCTCTGCAAGTTCAGGGGGCGGGGTTTGCTGGCCGCACACCACGAGAACATCTGGTTTGAAACAGGCGCCAGGAGAGGGCAGAGGAGGGAGAAGAGAGAGGACATCCGGCCCGGGCCAGTGATTTCCCTGTGGTTTCCCGGGCGAGGGCCGGCCTTTCCAGGATGGGTCCAGCCCACCTCCCGCGAGGGGCCCCTTCCCTCCCTCCTCCTGCCCAGGCCAATCCTGGCTGTATGGGTCTCGCCTCTGGGGTTTGCTAAGGCATCAGCTCAGCCCCAGCCCAGACCTGCCCATCTGAAGCCCCAGGCAGTTGCTAATGATGGGAGCTTAGTGCACAAGGGCTGGGCCTCCCTCTTGGAGCTGAACATTGTTTCTTGGGGACGGCTGTGCCCACCTCAGCGGGGAGGCAAGGATTAAATCAGGTGATTCTTGTGACAGGCTTGGGACAGGACGGCCCCGAGGTGAGTCGGTGCACGCCAGCTGTCACCCTGACACCCTGCTGACAGACGCATGGGCTTCAGTGCCCCATCTGTAAAGTGAGGGCTGGAGGCCCCCCAGCCCACCCCGGGGAAATGGACCCGGAGCCCCGGCTCCCAGTGAGCAGCGGGGGTCCCACCAAGGGGCCTCACCATGTCCTTGAAGGCCCCCAGGACGGCGGCGGTGATGATGCCCAGGAACAGGCCCAGGACGTTCAGAACTGCAGAGGCCCAGAGCAGGCGGTACAGGTGCAGCACGTCCTGGCAGCCGCTGACGCCGATGAACTCATAGTAGGCGGGCGAGGGCTCTGCGCTGCACAGAGAGGGCACCATGGCGTCACCGCACGAGGCAAGTGACCACCCGCAAGTTAAACTTGTGTCCTCTGGACCTGAGCCCTGCAGGGCTGGGGGAGGAAATCAGGGCTGGAGCCCAGTCAACGCCCATCCCTGCACTGCTCTGGGAGATCAAACCTATGTCTGATGGGATTGGCCTGTGAGGCTCCCCACCTGGGGCCCACAGTGGCAAAGAGCGGCAACTGGGCCTGGCGGGCCCGCCCCTCCGCCTCGATGGCCTGGCAGGACGGGTGTCTGGGCCCCGGCTGAGCCATCTCTGTCTTCACGCCAGGATGGGAAGGCCGTCGGGGTCACGGGCCCCTGTCCCAAGAGGGGGCCATGCCTGGGGCCTCAGAGGCCAGGCCAGGTTTAAACTCTCGCCCGACACACACGGGCTGTGTCCTCTTGGGCAGATCAACATTTCAGAGCCTCTGTCTTTTCATCTGTGAAATGGACTCAATGTCCTTTCCTCATGTAAACATCTAAGGAGTAAAGGAGACGATGTAGGTGCAGGGGTGTGGGGGGGGTGATGTCAGGAGCAGAAGGATGGAGGCCTCACCCCTGCAGGCACATACGGGGGTTCCCAGCGCCCCTCACCTCCCTCAGGTGTAGATATAGGGGTCCCCAGCGCCCCTCACCTCCCGCAGGTGTAGATACGGGGGTCCCCAGCGCCCCTCACCTCCCGCAGGTGTAGATATGGGGGTCCCCGGTGCCCCTCACCTCCCGCAGGCATAGAGGTCACAGCAGTAACAGGTGTTGCTTCTCACCTTCAGCTGGCACTTGCCGTCCAGGGAGTGACAGGTGACCTGGGGCAGAGAGGCCTTGTCAGGTCACATGCCGGTGCCCACCACCTCACCCACCCCACCAAGGGCAGGGCTGCCTCATGGGAGCTGGGAGCGGCCACTGAGGCCCAGCCAAGCAGCTGCCTCCCCCGACTTTCCCCCGACTCCAGACACAGAGGCTTGGGGGCTCGGGGGCCAGGACCCTTCCTGCAGGAGGGGTCAGGGGCACAGGCTGGTCCCAGAGGCCGGATAATCGGGGCTCAGAGGAGAGGCCTTGCTTCTCCATGATCCCAGGAGCAGAGGGAAATATCAGGGTGCGTGGGCAGAAGGACAGAGCCCAGGAGGCCTTCGGCGTGGGGTGCACAGAAGCCTGAGAGCCCGGAGGGCGGCAGAACAGGCCCCGTCCCAGGGCGCTCTCCCCCCAGGCTTGAGCACTGGCAGCCTCAGAAGAGACACCTGCCACCTCTGTGTGACAACCTTGAAAGCCCTGGCCAGGGGACACCCCCCAACACACACACACACACACACACACACACACACACACACACAGAGGACGCCTCCCCTGACACACACACACAGGACACCTCCACACACACACACACAGGATGCCTCCCCCCCACATACACACATGGCATGCCTCCCGCCTACCCCCCCCCACACACACACACAGGACACCTCCACACACACATACACATACACACACAGGACACCTCCCCCCTAAACACACACGGGACGCCTCCTGCCTACCCCCCCCCACACACACACACATAAACACACACACACACACGATGCCTCCCGGCAGCTGCTGGAGAGTCCCAGACAAGCTGGCAGGTGCTGGCCACTGAGAGGGCCTCCAGCTCCTCCTCCTCTGACACGCGTGCTGAGGATGAGAGGCTGCGTTTAGTTAAAGCCAGGAATCCACACAGGGCAGGTGCGAGACACACAGAGAGCGCCGTCACAGAGCTGTGCCCTCCGACGGTCCTGGCGAAGGCGGCGGCCGCCCGCGGGTCATTACTCCCCGCATCTCACTCACCTGGAAAGAGAAATGAGGTCACACTGCCGCTGTCGGTGGCTCAGGGAAATCCAGAAGTTTCTCGGACACTGTAAATGTATTATCCTTGCTTCTTATTGCAATAATTAAATTAGAAAAATGCTAATTGGAAGAGCCATACAGAACTGGACACGTGCACTCTGAGACTGTTGTGATTTAATGAAGCAAGTCCAGAACTCTGACTCCAGAGTGAAATACAGCACATCGAAATGTCAAGGTCCCAAACACAGGGGGCATCAACGGTTCACCAGCTGCAGGGGTGACCCCCAGGAACTATTAGAATCAAAATATTCAGACCACGCCTATGTGCAGGGAAAACCGCGTGGGGTCGGCGGGGTTAGCTGAGCAAAACCCACATGAATCTCAGTGCTCCTGCTCACCTCTGTCTGGTAGACATCGTACAAGTACCCCACCCCACTGGAGTAAAACTGGCATCTTCCCGTGGTGAGGGGCCTCGGTTCCTAGAGAAACAGATAAACACAGATGGAATAAAACAGGTGCCTCCAGGCGGGAGAGGCCAGAGGCAATTTCAGGCCTGTGGGTCTCAGGCTCAGGGCCTCAAGGACCAAGGCCAACACCAACTTGAGCCTCCCAGACACAGAACACAAGATGGGAGACTCCACGCTCCCTGCAGAGCAGCTGGGCTGCTGCATCCAGGAGGCCAGACAGCAGAAAGCCCCATGGGAGGGTACCTCGGGCCATGCATATTCTCCATCAGTCAACAAGGGCAGCAGAAGGGAGACAGGTGCTTGGCCTTTTGAGGGGCATCCCTACCACCCCACATCACAGGTGTTAGGCTCCTGCATCGTTTCATAAAAGAAAATATTGTCTCTTCTACTAGGAAGGTAGCAAGAAGGATTTCAGACCAATAAACTCATCCCTCCAACCATCCAATCATCCACCCACCCACCCAACCATCCATCCAATCATCCAATCAATCATCTGTGCATCCACCCATTCTTCCTTCCATCCTCTACATCTATCTATTCATTCATCCATAATGCATCCATCATCCATCCTTCCATTCATCCACATCCATCCATCCACCCATCTGTCATCCATACTTCATCCATCCATCCATCCATCCATGTATCCATCCATCCTTCCATCCATCCACCCATCATCCATCCATTATCCATCCTTCCATTCATCCACATCCATCCATCCACCCATCTGTCATCCATCCTTCCATCCATCCATCCATCATCCATTATCCCTCCTTCTATGTATCCATCCATCATCCATCCTTCTATCCATCCACATCCATCATCCATCCTTCCATTCATCCACATCCATCCATCCAACCATCATCCAACCATCCATCCATCATCCATCCATTATCCATCCTTCGATTCATCCACATCCACCCATCCATTCATCTGTCATCCATCCTTTTGTCCATCCATCATCCATCATCCATCCATTATCCATCCTTCTATTCATCCACATCCATCCATTCACCCATCTGTCATCCATACTTCCATCCTTCCATCTGTCCACCATCCATCCATCATCCGTTATCCATCCTCCTATCTATCCATCCATCATCCATCCTTCTATCCATCCACATCCATCACCCATCCTTCCATTCATCCACATCCATCCATCCATCCATCATCCATCCTTCTATCCATCCATCCATCATCCATACTTCCATTCATCCACATCCACCCATCCATCCATTCCTGTCATCCACCCATTATCCATCCTTCTATCCATCCATCCAACCATTCAGCCATACACCCATTTGTGGCCCTATCCAACTATCAATCCATCCGACCATCTGCAACATTCATGGAGCAGACACAGTGCCAAATGGTAAGGATAACGAGACACAGTTCTTGCCCTTAAGGGATTTATAGACTAGTGAAGAAGACAGACCCATAAACTGACCATTGCAAAGTGCTTATAATTGCTATGGTAGAGGACAGCAGGAAGTACCAAAACTAAAATGCCACAAAACTGCATCACCTGCAAATAAGCTAGGGTCACATTGCCCACGTTTAGTTTTATTAGTATTTCTCAAAGGCTCCTAGTTCTGAACCAAGAAAAGTATTAGAAACCACTAGTAACACTGCAACAGATGAGAATGAGAATCACTCATCGGTCCTTTGGGCCCCCACTGGTGAAGTACTATTATGGCCGGATGCGTTCTAGGTGACACAGCAATGGAGGAAGCAGACACAAGTCTCTGTCTCTGGGTGTTTATCTTCCCCTGAGGGGACAGACATGAGACCACAGGTAACAATGAGTAGCCCAAGGGGACAGAGGCTCCTTCCTGGAGAGAGGGCAGTGCACCCCAACCCCACGGACAGAGGCTCCTGCTGGGAGGGAGGGCGGTGTGCCGGAACCCCATGGGGACAGAGGCCTAGCAGCACGGTGTCCTCGGCCTCTCTCAACAGTTGGAAGGCACGCATCTCCCCATATGACGCCCTTAGAGCTGTAATTCACCATCTGTCTTCTTCCTCAGCAGCACACGAGGCAGTGCCACATTTTCCTCGATGGCATCTGAGCTCCAGTGAGTGCTGTCTGCGCATCCGTCCTAAAGTCAGCCCTGGGAGGCCCCGGCCAGGGGCCCTGCTTTGTTTCTAACCAAGAGGCTCCCACACTTGCCTAGATGCATGCCCCGCGTGGCCCTCCAGAATGGACAGGCGCCCGAGGTCCGGAACCTGGGGACACCCCCGACTGCGGTCAGAGACTGGACCCTGCTCCTCGGCGGGGCCACGGCCACGGGCGCCTGGAGCACAGTGGAAACCACCGTCTGGAAGCCATAGAATAGCAAGTCACCCAGCCACCCGCTGAGAAAGCTCCCATGACGCACCTCCGTGGGAGTGTGTGTGTGCGCGCGAGTGTGAGCATGTGGGCCGTGGTGTGTGCATGCGTGCGCACGCACGTGTGTTTTGTGAATGTGCTCCCACACTTGCCTTCATATAATGAAACCGTTGGGGCAGACAAAGGCCTAACACCAACCTTCAGTGCCTTTCAGTGTGATTTATGGAAAAAGAGGGAGAAACAATCACAGGTTTGGTCTGAGAGTTCATGACAAGCAATTCGGCTGCTCCCGGGGACCAGCTGACGCCCAGATGGCGAGAGCCCACCCAGGAGCCCAGCCAGGGAGGAGGGGGGATGGCGCAGCCCACCGGAGGCTGAGGACGCACCTCAGGAGGACACAGAAACGATTCCTTGGCCTGCGACTTTAGAGAAAACCTGTTCATTTAGAGGTGAAAAGAGCGTGGTGTGGTGTGTATGTGTGTGTGGTGTGTGCTCTGTGTGGTGTGTGTGCTGTGTGCTCTGTGTGGTGTGTGTAGTGTGTGTGGTGTGTGCTCTCTGTGGTGTGTGTGGTGTGTACTCTGTGTGGTGTGTGCTCTGTGTGGTGTGTGCTCTGTGTGGTGTGTGAGGTGTGTGCTCTGTGTGGTGTGAGGTGTGTACTCTGTGTGGTGTGAGGTGTGTACTCTGTGTGGTATGTGCTCTGTGTGGTGTGTGAGGTGTGTACTCTGTGTGGTGTGTGAGGCGTGTGCTCTGTGTGGTGTGTGAGGTGTGTACTCTGTGGTGTGTGCTATGTGCTCTGTTGTGTGTGTGCTGTGTGCTCTGTGTGTTGTGTGCTGTGTGCTCTGTGTGTTGTGTGGTGTGTGCTATGTGCTCTGTTGTGTGTGTGCTGTGTGCTCTGTGTGTTGTGTGCTGTGTGCTCTGTGTGTTGTGTGGTGTGTGCTGTGTGCTCTGTTGTGTGTGTGCTGTGTGCTCTGTGTGTTGTGTGCTGTGTGCTCTGTTATGGTGTGTGTGCTGTGTGCTCTGTGTGTTGTGTGCTGTGTGCTCTGTTGTGTGTGTGCTGTGTGCTCTGTTGTGTATGTGCTGTGTGCTCTGTGTGTTGTGTGGTGTGTGCTGTGTGCTGTGTTGTGTGTGTGCTGTGTGCTCTGTGTGTTGTGTGCTGTGTACTCTTATGGTGTGTGTGCTGTGTGCTCTGTGTGTTGTGTGGTGTGTGCTATGTGCTCTGTTTTGGTGTGTGTGCTGTGTGCTCTGTTGTGTGTGTGCTGTGTGCTCTGTTGTGTGTGTGCTGTGTGCTCTGTGTGTTGTGTGGTGTGTGCTATGTGCTCTGTTTTGGTGTGTGTGCTGTGTGCTCTGTGTGTTGTGTGCTGTGTGCTCTGTTGTGTGTGTGCTGTGTGCTCTGTGTGTTGTGTGGTGTGTGGTGTGTGCTGTGTGCTCTGTTGTGGTGTGTGTGCTGTGTGCTCTGTGTGTTGTGTGGTGTGTGCTGTGTTGTGTGTGTGCTGTGTGCTCTGTGTGTTGTGTGCTGTGTGCTCTGTTGTGGTGTGTGTGCTCTGTGCTCTGTTGTGGTGTGTGCTGTGTGCTCTGTGTGTTGTGTGGTGTGTGTAGTCTGTGTGGAGAGGGAAGTTCGTTGTGTAGGAAATGAGACTTACTGAGAGGAGAGACAGTCACTGGCAACCCCCAGCGTGGAGACTGACGGTGAAGCCGTCTGAGCTGAGATCTGCAAAATGAAATTGTACTTTTTTCACGTCGACTCTTTCAGCCCCGGAAAGCGACTGTGCACACAATGACAATGTACTCACAATGTGCTGTGCTGCAAATACGCCGTCCACGATGGCGCAGCAGAAGGCGGCCACCACGCCAAAACTGATAAACACGATCGCTGCCACCAGCTGCAACAGAAGGAGAGGTGTGGGTGCCCAGCTTTTACCAACCCCGGTTTTCAAACGCAAACCAATTCAAAGTCCCAGCTCGAGGTCGGGGCTTCTTTCACAGAACTGCCTCTTCTCACCTCTACCTTTCGTCCTATGACTTCCAGCCCTGGCCAGGCCGGACTCCACCCTGCGGGTCGTCCTCACGCGTCTATTCCGCAAGACCCACCCAGGCGCCTTCTGCACGGAAGGGCGTTGCCATCCCCGGGCCCTCGGCACGCGCCTCTGAGAAGCAACCCCAGACGGCAGGGCGTGTGCCCAACCCTAATGTGTGCTCATCACACGCACACACATGTGCATGCTTGACACAGGCCTTTACAGTCATCGGATCAGCTTCACACACTGTCGCACAACCTGCTTTTCCTACCTAATGGTCTTGGAGCTTGGAGCCAGGAATGGTTTATAGTGCGTTAGTTAACCAGTGCACTCTGATGGATAGTTAAACAGTTGGCAATTTCTTGCCACTACAAACTCTGCTATAAAGCGGGGTGTCCTGCCCTAACCCTAAAAACTAGCAGGGAGTCTCCATCCCCGTGGACCCCTGACCAGAGGGCGGGTGCTGTCATTCTTTTCTCGGTGCCTGGCTTGGTACCACGCTGGGCAGAGCAGACCCTCCTGAATGGCCGCTGAAAACTGTGGCCCCGAGTTGGCATCTCGCTTGGTTCCGTCCCGATGGATGAGTTGTCGGCTCGGGAAAGAGGTCCCAGTGACAAGCAGAACCCATCGGTAACAGCAGAGGGAGGGCCTGTGGCTCGGGCACATGGTGCTACACAGGGACAGGGGAAGCCTGAGTCTGTTCGGACCTGTCCTGCGCACCAGGCACGAGCGTGGGTGCTCGTCCAGACTCAGAGCAGAGCCGACCGAGCAGAGTGGTCTCCTCCTCACACTTGCAAAGACGCCCGGCAGAGGCACCCCGACCTTCCTTCTCCCTGGGGAGCCAAGTATGTGGAGAGAGGAGTTCCATCGACCGTGACCCTCACGTGGAACTGCTGTGGCCTCTTCCCCCGATGTCAGCATGGCCCTGTGTGTCCATCTCTGCCCCAGGCTGCACACCTATCGTCACCCGCAACCCAAAGAGAAGCCAAATCCAGCCCATCTGCCAAGGCTCTAACGCTACCCGCTGGATTCGCAGGTGGGACGCATTCCCATCAGGCCCCACAGCAGCAGAAGGCGGGGGGTGGGGGCTGGCGGGCCCAAACCTTTCAGGCCATGGACCAGTGGTGGCCGCCTGCCCCTCCCTCTCCTTCTGACCCTCCACACCACAGGCCCGCTGGGGGTCCTCCCTGGAAGCCCCATCAGAGCCGGTCCAGGGCGCACCACGCTGCTGGCCAAGCCCTTTTGCGGAGGAAAGTGCAGCTTCTTTTTTAAACAGTGGGCACCCTCACTGCGAGTCTGGGTGTTTTTATCCTTCAGCAGAGGAAGAGCTGTCAACTGGGGGCTTCCTGGTGAGCCCACGCTTGGCAGTCACCGATGCCACCTTGCATTAAATGTGAGTGATGAGGCGGTAGGGCTGGGGCAGCGGGCCGGAGAGCGAGTCCACAGAAGTCAGTGCGTCCTTGGGTGGGTCCCAGACCGGCACGGTCCCTGCGTGAGTCACAGAGAGATGGTTCTCCCACCTGCTGGCACCTTTCTTCTCAGGTGGGTCCCAGACCGGCACGGTCCCTGCGTGAGTTACAGAGAGATGGTTCTCCCACCTGCTGGCACCTTCTTCTAAGGCAACTTTCCTCCACAGCAGATCAGACGAGACATTCTGAGAGCTCAGACATCAAGCACGTGCCCTTCCAAAATACATACTTTAGGTTTACGAGAAGAGGTAGGTCTGAACAAAGTCCGGGCAGTTAGCAGGAAGCTGGCCGACACCCCTGAGCTCTGTCTCCCAGTGGCTGTGCGAGGGGGCAGAGGGGGACGTGGCCACCAGACCCAAGGGCAGCACAAGGGTTCTCGGGGTGGCCTTGGACCGGAGCCCTTACCCTCGCATCCCCCCTCCACCTCCCCAGGCAGAGCAGAGCAGAGCTGGCAAGCTGAGTCCTTCCAGAGCGTTCTCTGAACTGCTGGGCTGGACTTGCCCCTAGTGGTCCTTGGTTCCCCCTCTGGAAAGGGAGGTGCTGGGTTCACTGACTTATTCATGAGTGTCACGGACGCTCCAGCGTCCCCACGGGATACGCAGCCTGGTGCTGCAGGCGCAGACATGAGCAAAACAGGCACCTCCCCGCCCTTCCCGCGTCTCACGTTTCTGGCATTTTATCATCGATTGCCTAAAAGAAAGTTGAGATGCTCCCAGAAGAAAGCTGTGCAGAAAACCATGGCTGCATTAGCCTGGGTCTGAACCAAAAGCTTACTTCTATTTGGACTTTCTACAGGCTGTGGCAATTTAAAAATCTCCTCTTCTGCCTAATTGCTCTGGTTCGACTGACTAAATAATGACGGAGCCCATCGCATGGTGTAGCTGCCCAGTGTGCTGGAGGAACAGACAGATGAGGGAGGTTCCCTCTTGAACAGCTGACCCCGTCTGACGGCCACCATAGCAAAGCATAAGCCAGGGCTCTGGGTGCACACACAAGGAAGGCCTCATTGCACCCTGAGAAAGAAGGAAGGCCTGAACGAGTCCTGGAAGAATAAACAGAATTTCCTCAAGGGGAGACAGGGAAGGTGCTGGGGGCTGCACGTCGGTGGGACTGGGGCCCACTGAGGTGGGGCAGAGGCCACGATGTGCAGGGCTAGGGGTGAGCTGCAGCCACCATGTTACGGTCAGAAGGTCGTCAATGCCAAGGTTGTGTGGCCGAAGGCAAGAGACTTCCTTCACCTTCCTATTTTCCTGATGAAACTGCTGCATAAAAGTAAAATGACTATTATGCAGAGCTGTGTAAAAACAGCGGGCAGAAATTACACCTAACTGAAATTTCCTACATTCAGTTAGGTATAAATACGTAAAATACATTAAAAATGTAATTGTTTGAACAAATACATAAAAACACACACAGACGGCTCAGAGGGCAACATTTGAGGTTTCCCAGTCGGGGCCAAGCCCCTCCACCTTCCCAGAGGAAGATGAAAGCCGGCCTCCAGCGGGGCCGCGTCCCCAGCTCTGGGGCCTCCCGCAGTTCCGGGGGATGTTCCTGTCCCGCAGTGCACCCTTCTCGTGGGTGCCGGCCTGGATCAGGGGGCTGCGTGCCTCGCTCTAGCATTGCAGGGAGAGCGGCGTCACATCCCATCATGCCTGCAGACATGCTTCCAGCATTAGATGCAAGCACGCAGAGGGGCCGTGGTCCCGTCACCACTGCACACGCTCCTTAAGAACTCCCACAGTTTCTGTTGGGCACAATTCCCAACCAAAGAGGCAGAAGGAAAAAAGACTTAAAGATGAAGAAAATCACTTTAAAGCTTCCAAAGTTCTTTCGCTCGACCCATCCTTCTAATCCGCACAACTGTGACATCATCATCACAATTTGCATTTTGCAGGTGCGGCTCTAAGGACTTGGGGCTCTAAACATCTTTCGCTCAGACAGCGCCTCAGCTCAGGAGCACAAGCACCCCTTCCCTGCTCCTGGTTGAGTCACCACCCTCAGAGCCACTGGTGTCCCCAAGGGGACATCTGTCCACACGACGTCGCTCCCACAGATCCCTGAGGGGTGTGTGACCAGTGTGGTCCCCCAGATTCGTTGGGGCTGCCCAACGTTAGGAAGCCCACATCTGCCTAGTGGGAGCCGAAGCCATCCCAGGAGGATCCAGCGTCCCTGTCCGGCTCGGCGGCCGGCAGGTGCCACCCGCTAGATGCCCCGGCCACTTTCAGAAGTGGGTGGCAGGTGACTCATCCAGGCTCTGCTGGGTCTCTCACCGTAAATGCGTGCAGCAGAGACTCTGCCAGGATGTGCTGGCCCTAGATGTTCACCTTCCAACCCAGTAACCCCTCATGAATGCCATGGAGCCAGGAACCTGCTGCAACCCAGCCCTGGGCAGGACACAGGCCCAGACCGTTGAGAGGTGTTCATATTTCACCCCCACCCAATTTCACCCAAAACATCACAGAAGCACCGAATTGTTAGAGCATCCCTAAAAATTGCAGGGTCTACCTTCCATCACCCATGTTTCATAAACACATTCAAACTTGGTCATGCATAACACTTCCCACCCTGCGAACGTCCTCGCAGATGTCCCAGCTCTGCCTGGCTGTCCTTCCTCCCGCTCTTTCAGTGTGAAAGGTAAAATTCAGCGAGAGTGTGGCCACGCGCAGCAAGTTCAGTGCTAGGATGTCTACGTGTCCGGTCAGTCCAGAGCTAGGATATCCATGTGTCCAGTCAGTTCAATGCTAGGATGTCTACGTGTCCGGTCAGTCCAGAGCTAGGATGTCCATGTGTCTAGTCAGTTCAGTGCTAGGATGTCCACGTGTCCGGTCAGTCCACAGCTAGGATGTCCATGTGTCCAGTCAGTTCAGTGCTAGGATGTCCACGTGTCCGGTCAGTCCACAGCTAGGATATCCATGTGTCCAGTCAGTTCAGTGCTAGGATGTCTACGTGTCCGGTCAGTCCAGAGCTAGGATGTCCATGTGTCCAGTCAGTTCAGTGCTAGGATGTCCACGTGTCCGGTCAGTCCACAGCTAGGATGTCCATGTGTCCAGTCAGTTCAGTGCTAGGATGTCTACGTGTCCGGTCAGTCCACAGCTAGGATGTCCATGTGTCCAGTCAGTTCAGTGCTAGGATGTCCACGTGTCCGGTCAGTCCACAGCTAGGATGTCCATGTGTCCAGTCAGTTCAGTGCTAGGATGTCTATGTGTCCGGTCAGTCCACAGCTAGGATGTCCATGTGTCCAGTCAGTTCAGTGCTAGGATGTCCACGTGTCTGGTCAGTTCAGTGTTAGGATGCCCACGTGCCCGGTCAGTCCAGCGCTAGGATGTCCACATGCCCGGTCAGTTCAGTGTTAGGATGTCCACGTGTCTGGTCAGTTCAGTGTTAGGATGTCCATGTGCCCGGTCAGTCCAGCACTAGGATGTCCATGTGCCCGGTCAGTCCAGCACTAGGATGTCCATGTGCCCAGTGAATCCAGCACTAGGATGTCCACGTGCCCAGTCAGTCCAGCGCTAGGATGTTCAGGTGCCCAGTCAGTCCAGTGCTAGGATGTCCACGTGCCCAGTCAGTCCAGCGCTAGGATGTCCACATGCCCGGTCAGTTCAGTGTTAGGATGTCCACGTGCCTGTTCAGTTCAGCACTAGGACATCCACGTACATGGTCAGTCCAGTGCTAGGATGTTCACGTGCCCAGTCAGTCCAGGGCTAGGATGTCCATGTACACGGTCAGTTCAGCATTAGGATGTCTATGTACACGGTCAGTCCAGGGCTAGGATGTCCACATGCCCGGTCAGTCCAGGGCTAGGATGTCCATGTACATGGTCAGTTCAGTGTTAGGATGTCCATGTGCCTGGTCAGTCAGCACTAGGACAGCCAGAAACATGAAAATGCCAAGAGCTTCTCATGGTGCTTCAACCCGAGTCCAGGCAGTGGTGTTGGGAAAGACATTGGGAATGGCCTCCTCCAGCTCCTCTGGCTAAGTCCGAAAGTCATTGCCAGAACCAGCCTCACGAGAGCTGCCTCAGGGAACAGCCCACATCCCCCTGGACTGCCTGGCTCTGTCACGACTTTTCTCCAGGCATTGTTAACTCTTGTTCAGATAAATTTTTTGTGACCTAGAACGTGCATAGCAGGAACCAGATCAATTCTCCAAAGACACAAGCAACCCACTCTCCATAGCCCATGAGGACTGCGCATGTCTACGGCCACTGCCAGGAGAAACTCTGTCCCTGCACTGGAGCCACAAGGATCTGGACTGAAGGCTGTGAAGATCTCATTGCATTCTGTTGGGGCATCTTCTCTTGAGCAAAGGTCACCTTCAAATGCCTCTGCTCTCAGAGTTTACATTCCAACAGAAGAAAGTAGATTTACAAAAAAAAAAAAACCACACTGAGCATAAGGTCATGGTGATCAGAGGAAAAGAAGGAAGGGGATAAGGTGGGGAGGGAGAGTGGCCCGGGTGCAGCTACCTCAAGAGGGCGGCTGGGTCTCTGTGGTCTGGGACATTCGAGCAGAGACTCAACAAGGTGGAGACCCTGCCCAGGCCACCCAGCAGCACCTGCAAAGGCCCCACAGCATGGCATGTGGGTCTAAGGAGCACCAGGGCAGTCGGTCGGTGGCCTCCACGAGGCAGGATGAGTGGGGCAGGAGGGAGGGAGGGAGGCGCGGCGCGGCCCCCGGGTGCAGTGGTCAGTGGGAGGGGAGCCAGCTTCCCTGGGGTTTCCCAGAACTCTGGCTGGGGTGAGGGCAGCGGCAGGGCCCAGGCAGGAGGTGACGGCGATGGTGAGGGCCAGAAGCGCGAGTGGAGTACACAGGTCGAGTGTGCAGAGACAAACGGGTGGAGGGCGGCCACACGGTGACACCGTGCTGATGACGGCACAGAGCCAGGGCCCGGATGGGCAAGAGCAGCCACTTCCATCTCACAGGTCTGTTATCACCCACACGATGACGGCTAAGATGGCTGTGTACGCCATAAATCCAGCACTAGGATGGCCACGTGTGGCAGGAGGAGACACAGGGAGCCACCAGCCGAGGGCAGAGAGGAGCCTCTGCTGCGCCAGTGCCAGGCCACGCAGGCAGTGCAACCCCTGAGCCCCCACCCAGGCCAGCAGCTCCACCTGCGAGAGGCACCTGATGCAGCCTCTGCTGCCCATCCCCACCCCCTCCGCCTTCCCCTCTGCCCATCCCCACCCCCTCCGCCTTCCCCTCTGCCCATCCCCACCCCCTCCGCCTTCCCCTCTGCCCATCCCCACCCCCTCCGCCTTCCCCTCTGCCCATCCCCACCCCCTCCGCCTTCCCCTCTGCCCATCCCCACCCCCTCCGCCTTCCCCTCTGCCCATCCCCACCCCCTCCGCCTTCCCCTCTGCCCATCCCCACCCCCTCCGCCTTCCCCTCTGCCCATCCCCACCCCCTCCGCCTTCCCCTCTGCCCATCCCCACCCCCTCCGCCTTCCCCTCTGCCCATCCCCACCCCCTCCGCCTTCCCCTCTGCCCATCCCCACTCCCTCCGCCTTCCCCTCTGCGGCATGGTGCCCCTGGCCGACACCTGGAGCTGCCCATCCCGTCTTAACCACAGATGTCTTCTCAACACCTCCTCCCCGTCCATGCCCTCTCCTCCGCCTCGCTTCCTTTAGAGTAAACCTCCTGGAGAGAGTGGACGGCACCTGCAGCTGGTTCCTCCTTCCTGGGTCACCAAGCCCAAATCTGCCCCTCCCAAGGTCACCATGCCCTGCCTGCCATCAATCCAGGGGTCACCCTCAGCCCCAGCTGACGCGATTCACCATGAGCATTTGACACATTCACGGCTCTCACACTCCCCTCCCCACTGCTTTCCCAGGCACAACCTAATTCACTTCACAAGCAGGTCCCTGCTCACAGTTCTAAGCCATGTACAATTTCAGCTCATTAACAATTTCCTCTCCAGCTTCCCTTCTTCACGTCTGACCTGCACACCTGCCATGCGGGTGTCCCAGAACCACAAAACTCAGGGGCTCCCCACATGGTCGCCACTGTCTACACCCTACACTCGCACCATCCACACCCTCCAAAGACCCTGAACTTTGACCTGCTCATTTCACCTATCATCGGTTTCTGTGAGCAAACGGAGAAGAGAAGCCGCACCACTCAGGTCAGCAACAGGCAGCCTCTGTCCTTTTAAGCCTTCCCCACACACTGAAGAAATTCTTAGAACGTTTAAAAACTGTTTTCCAACTTAAACCAATCAGGCATTATTTTAGTCTAGAATACATGTTTTTCAAATGCTAATAAATAAGTGATAAAGGAGAGCAACCAAATTAAAATCCAGACCGTTGGCTCTGGGAGATGCCCAATGTAGCTCTTCCGAAAACACCCCTGCGCGTGCACGTGGCTGACTGTGGAGCTAGCAGGTTTGCACAAGGCCTACTGTAAGTTTTCTCTATTAGAGACAAAATTTTAAAATTATTTAATTATGACATATTTTCACATGTTCTGTTCATTAAAGTGTCAGAGTCCAGGTATGAAACAACGAACAACTAGAACCTCTCAGAAGTGCCTTACGGGGCCCATTGCCAGGAGTAATGTGGTCTCCTGTGTGAAGGCATGCCCCATGCATGTCACATGTGTAACTAGTGAGCCTGGAACAGGGCTCACTCCTCCTCAAAAACCAAGACGTGGCCTCCTTCTCAGTGAATGAGAGGCCACTACAGATGATCTCCAACGCCACCAGCCCAGACCGAGAAATGAGAAATCCATCGTAATGGTTTCTTCTGATGACTCGTCTGCAATCCCTTTTCCTGCCTGCTCTCTGACGTGGATGCCAGGGAGGAAATTCACTCCCCAGCAGAGAGGAAGCAGCTGCTGCTAGTGACGACAGTGATGACGGTGATGGTGATGACAGTGATGATGGTGATGAGGGTAACGACAGTGATGATGGTGATGATGGTGACAACAGTGACGACGGTGATGGTGACAACAGTGATGATGGTGATGATGATGGTGATGACGGTGATGATGTTGACGATGGTGACAATGGTGATGACAGTGGTGACAATGGTGATGATGGTGATGGTGATGATGGTGACAACAGTGATGGTGATGACACTGATGATGGTGATGGTGATGACAACAGTGATGATGGTGACGAGGGTGATGACAGTGATGACAGTGGGGATGGTGACGATGGTGACGGTGATGACAGTGAAGACGGTAATTACAGTGACGACAGTGATGGTGATGGGGATGGTGATGACAGTGGGGAAGGTGACAATGGCAATGACAGCGAGGATGGTGACAATGGTGATGACAGTGATGACAGGATGGTGATGATGGCAATGACAGTGATGACAGTAGGGATGGTGACGATGGTGACAATGGTGACAGCGGGGATAGTAAAGACTGTGATGACAGTGGGGATGGTGATGATGGTGGCCCATGGTTCTCTGGCTAGAATCCCGAAGTCCAGAGCCCTCACGGTTTGATGCTTGAATTCATTTTACAGCAAAGCATGCCCTGGTCTGAAGAAGTCCATGCACAGCCTGCATTTACCCCACGTTGTGTGAATGTTCGTGTGCTTTGCTTTGGAAACACGAAGTGGGAGACTGCCTCAGACTCCACTGGAGGAATCAAACGGTCTGGCCCATCCCCACGTTCCCTCCTAAAATCCAAAACACTCCGAGAAGCATCTGGCTCCGGGAGTGTCCGAGAAGACACAGGGATGTGTGAGTACGTCAAGCCACTATCCCAGGTGTTTTTCCTGCCTCTCCTGAGCCCCTGAGGGCAACCCTATCATCCCTTCATCGAGAAGAGGACAGGGAGGCCTGGGGACGTCCAGCACCCACAGTCACGTCCAGAGTGGGGTCTCCAAGCCCAGCGGCAACCGTTCCTACTTCTGACCCTGACCAATGACCTAAGGGTTTCAAAACCAGGGAAAGCTCATGTTGGGGAGACTGAATTTCTAAATTTCTGCTGACTTAGAAGTTTCTTTAATTGAACTTTTCAGCTTTCCAGCCTCTCTCCTCCGGTGGGTCTATTTCTCTGTCAGTGGTCTAAGACCTCTCTTTGCTCATGCATTTGCTAAAGACAACAGCAAGAGAGGTAGGACGAGGAGCAAACATGAGACCCTAGTGCCAGCTGAGTCAGAAACCGCAGCTGGGGGTGAGGGAAGCCCGCAAGCCTCCCTCTCTGCCCTGCAGTGTTTTGCCTGGAGGGCAACCTCTGTCATGGTATTAGAAGTGCAGGTGGAAATCAGAAGGCAAAGCCAGTGCCTGCGTGCAGGGCAGTGAACTTCAGGAAATGACTCTCAGCCTGGGCACTTTGCCAGTGACAGAGCAGGGGCATCACCATCTTGGACAAACACTGCCATTTTAAGTTCCCTTTGACTAAAAACTGCCTAAATCCAGCCCCAGAAACATCAACTTACTGACTAATGTCAGCATGACCATAAACCACAAATGACACCTCCGACCAGAAACATTCCAACCCTGCAATAAAACTCTCCTCCACCCAGAAACATTCTGCTCCTGCAATAAGCTCCCCGCTTCATAAACCCTTAAATACCCTTATATAAGAGAGAACACTCCTGACCTAAATTCACCAGAAGCCCCTCTCAGGTTTATTCTCCAAAATAAACCTCTCTTTGATGGTTGAGCCACTTTTCATGTTTCTTTCCTCTTTAACTCTTACATTTGGTGCCGAAACCTAGGACAGGTGTTGGGGCCAGAGGCTCTCTTGCAACCCAGGAAGCCGTGGGCAGTGGCAGCTCGTCCCAGGCTAATTCCTAGATCCTGAGGGCCTCTAGCCACCTGCCTTGTCTTTTCTCTCACTTTACTTTCTGAGCAATTTGCATAAGGAGGACAACTGACCCGAAGGGAACTGTGAGGCTTGGGCCGGGGCTACTCCCCAGTGGGCTCTCAAAATCCTCAGGTCTCAGAAATCCACCTCCAACCGCTCACAATGGGCATTTCACTCTCTAACCCTTCTCTCCTTCTCCTCCTTCTCCTCCTCCCTTCTCCTCCTTCTTCTTCTTCTTCTTCCTCTTCATATCCTTCTCTCTCTCTCTCTCTGTCTTCCTCACGTGGCTCCAGTCTGGGAGGCGCTTTGCCAATTCCAACTGGAACATCCAACACCAGACACAAATCCAGCTGACTGGTAAGATCTGCCCTCCCCTGGCTTTCTCATGGTACCCAGGAAAGTCAGATCTGCCGTCCTGGTCCTCAGAGGACCAGTGGGATTAAGCTGGGGAAAATCTTGGGAACTCCCAGTCTCTTCTCAGGTTAATTGTCCTCTTTATAAACAGGAATCTGGGTCTCTGTCTTTCTTCTGGAGACACCTAGAACAAAAACAGACACCCTCGGCCTCCTCTTACCAGCTCACATGGGTGCCCAACAATCCCACATCCCTACACCCTCCCCGCTCGGCTGTCTCCTTCACAACCTCACCAAACTTGGCTTACAGGGGAGCCTAAAGCCAAAGCGTTTAGTTTTTTATGGTAACACGGCCTGGCCCAATTCAAACTAGATAACGACAGCCAATGGCCCAAAAACAGCATCTTTGACTTTCAAATTCTCAGGGACCTTGACAACTTTATAACCAGGAGCAGCAAATGACAAGAGGTTCCCTATATTCAGGCCTGCCTATGTCATGCTTGCACCCCTCATGAAATCCTTCTTCTTAAAGAAAACCCTCCCCAGGTCTTCCCTTCCTCCGAAATCCCTTCCTCCGAAACCCCTTCTGACCCTGCAGATGAACCCCCTCTGTACTCTCAACCCTCTGCATCTGCTCCTCACCCGACCAAACCCTCCACCCTGTTGGCCCCTCCTACCCCCAAGCCTTTAGCCCCAAACCTCACCCATCCTCCTTCTCCACCAGTCACCCATTCAGAAACTACCCCAGCCAGTCAAGCCACCTCTGCCATTCTCCCTCTCCAGGAAGTAGCTGGGGTTGAAGGCACTGCTTGCGTTCATGGCCCTTTCTCCACGTCTGATTTTCTCCACGTCTGACTTGTCACAGATCCAACAGCACCTGGAATCTTTCTCTGAAAATCCCTCTCATTATCACAGGGAATTCCTGCACATAGCCCAATCCTTTACTTTAACTTGGCATGACATTGACATAATTCTAACTCCACCCTCACTCCTGATGAAAAGGAGCATATGGCATTCAGCTGAGGCCGACGCAGATAAACTCCATAATCAAACCCTGATATAAAACCCAGTGGCTAACGATGCAGGCCCCGTAGAGATCCAGATTGGACTTACCAACAGGGAGACACTGGCTTCAGGCAAAGAAACCACGTGATCACCTGTCCCCTCGCAGGCATGGACAAAAATGCCCATAAGGCAGTTAATTATGAAAAACTCAGAGAAATTACATAAGAGCCCCAGGAAAATCCTGCCCTTTTCTTACCACACCTCACTGAAGCGATGCTAAAATATACCAATTTGGACCCAGAATCTAGAGAAGGTCAAACTTTTCTCCCCCTCCAATTTGTTTCCCAATCCACCAAGATATCCAGAAAAAATTATAAAAATTAGAGGAGGGTCCCCAGACATCTCAGTGGGACCTCCTAAATGCAGCCTTCCATGTCTTTAACAACACAAACGAGGAACAAAGAATTCAAAAAGACAAACATCTCCATATAAATACCAGATGCTCACCTCTGCTGTCCAAAAGTCAGCTCCACAAAAAGCCTCCTGATAACCCGAAAGAAAAGTCCCCCACCTCTGGGAGTCTGTTTCTGATGTGGCAACGCTGGACACTGGGCAAAAGCTTGTCCTAAACCCCTGCCCCCACCAAACTGTGCCCAACCTGTGGTCTCTGGGGACACTGGAAAATGGACGGCTCCCAACAGGGACACCTTCCCCGTTCAGGTGGGGCTCATAATGAAGCCCCCCCCTCCGACCATCACAGGAGGAAATCTCATCGCTGCCGGCACTGACAACGGAGGACTGAGGGTGCCCGGATCCTGCGCCCCCATGTCCAGTGAGTCCACGGAACCCAGGGTAACTGGGACGGTATCCGGTAGGCCAGAAGCAAGATGGAGTCAGTTCAGACCGTTTTCACTGTCTCAGTCATAATTGTGCAATGGCAGTTTCATAACTTTAAATGATTACCACAGTTTTCATAAATGATCTAGGCAAGTGATTAAAATAATTAGATAAATGTAATGGGACAAATATTTGTAAACAAACTTGTCATCATTTGGAATCTAAAGTTATATTAAATTAAACTACAGCTATTTCATTATTTAGGTTTTTCCAATAAAAATATATTGTAGGAAAGCATTCTTTCTAAAACTTGTATCCTTTTTAAAGGTTAAATAATTTGTGTCTAATTCAAAGCTTATTTAAAGGTTTTATATAAAACAAGGTAAAAGAAACCAGGAAATAAGAGAGATATAAAGAAAGTTACAAAACTAAAAAGTTGTAAAGACTGTTGCTAAAATAAAAATATCTTCAAAAATGTAAACAGTTGGTCTAAATTATGCAGGTCAAATATTAGGTTTATTAAATGCTTTTAGATCATAAACTGGTTCTTTGACTTAAAAATTGTTCAATTTATTTTGGAGTGTTAAATTCTAGATAAGGCCTGGGGATATAAGAAATTAGCCATGCCCCCTAGCTATGCAAAAAGGTATTAAAGAAAAGAATATTTATATAAGAAAGGATCTTGTATGATAAATTTTTGTCCTGAAGTAAAATAACTGGTTGTTTGAAGACAGGGATGTTTAGGACAAGTCAGAAAGTCAAGGCATGTGGTAGCTTGTCTGCGTAGTCATAAAAGAATTTATACAAGGGAATTTATGCAAGAAATGATGTAGAATTTAAAGGTGATTAGGCCTCCTAAATGCTTTATAAAATGCCACTATGACTCTTAGCTGTACAACTTGCCTGCTTTATATCTAGGTAAGGCCTGGGACACACGGAGTTTGATGCTGGAATGAATCAGACCTTGTGTGCACTTCTGTCTAAGTCCCAGGCTTCACACCTAGTACATCATTTAAAATCCCAAACGTACCAAGGTCTTCACCAAAAGTGAAGGTTGCTAAGAGTTAACAGTGTTACATGTATTTAAGACTATTGAAGAAACAGTTTACATGCAAGGTGTGTAAGGAAAGCAAAATATACTTTTGGTAAAAAGATTATAAGGAGGCACGGGAATGTGAATTTTTGCCTAGATTAAAAGGTTAAAGGGTTGTTTTAAGTTGGATAAAATAAAAATGAAGGTTTAAGCAAGTTGTGAATGGTTGATTGTAAAGGAAATTCTATTTGTAAACATATTGGCTAAAGTTAAAGGGGTATCCTCCAGTTTTTCTGCAAATTAAGCATTAAAATAAAAGCACAATGGGTTTCTCTTAGAGCACTAGCCTGCTCTTTAACAAAAATTGTAAAGAGTTATAAAAGGTCTATAAAAATCTTACCTTATGATCAAACATTAAAATTGGGTAAATATGTCTATAAAGTTTTATTAAGAATTGGGTTTAACATTAATAGTACACTAATGTAAAGGTGAAATTCGGCTTATTTGGTATAAAAATTATACAGGAAGCATTGCCAAATATGCAATGGTGTTTGGCTTTCTTTGGGCTGTGTTTGTATAAATATGTTATTGGTATGTGTTCCAAAGTTATGGGAGACTTCTATAATTCTGATATATTTTAGTGTACATTATCAGTAATAATTATCATTGTTATGTTAAAATTATTGTGTGCCACAAGGTAACAGATTTCCTTGTCAATTGTGTCTTTAACTATGGCTACCCTAAAACATTTTGTCATCCATAGGCAATTGTTGTCTTGTTTTGGTCCTGTTTAGAAGGTGGTTTCATAATCAGCTATAAAGTTTTACCAGGTGCTCTTCAATACAGGTTTCTGATAACTTTGAAGACTGTGACATCAGAATAGAGGAAAAATGTTCAGGACTCTTGAAGAGCTAAAATGTTCATTAATATCAGGCAGGACAGGAATTAACTACATGAACTGAACCAATAGGAGACTGGAGTGATCATTTTGACATTTTGCTTAAAATGTTGCTAATCCTTTGTTTTGCTTTTCAGAGTCAAGGAAACGTCTTGCGAGCTATTGACAGCTTTTAACAATTTAGTATACTCCCATGAGCAAAATTTGGAGCTTATTTGTTCCTCTCTACCTGATTTTCTCCAGAATTTGGAAAGTATTTGTGACTATTCTTAAGTTATGGCAATATAGTGATTTGCATAAGTGCAATAAGAATCTGTTTTCTTTTGTAACAGGACACAATTGGAGAAACTGGTTATTTTACCAAGACTTTGGTTGGAATGATGTGCTTTCCTTTAAGGAATCAAACTTGACTTATGAAGCCAAGAAAGGCCTTGGAAACTGGCCTCCTATTCTGTGTACACAGTCCCTGCACAGGGGTTCTGATCTGGGGTAAGTAAAGAATGTCACTTTCTGACAGGCCAGGAACCTCAACAGGAGAGGAATTCACCCAACTCATAGGTATTTAATGGTACAATTCCATGGCTGGGCTCAGCTTTAAAAAGTCTTATCTCAGATTCCTTCTATAAAACAAAGTTCCATCAAAGACAATTTAAAAGGCCTATGTGAAAAATAATTATTCTTGCTGCACTGTATACAAATAATTAAGCCAAGTATAATAAAGTAAACCAGTCCTACCATGTGTCTTTTAATAAAAATGGAAAACTGGAGAGAGAAAATTGTTTCAAAAACTATAGCACACCTGTTGTTAAAATTCCAGTCTTGTCTGATGTTTTTCAATTGTTATTATTTTCTACAGTTTAGATTAAATTCTAATTTTTCTGGCTACGAGTCTCCAAAATAATGTTTTCAATTTTTCCTTTTTCCCCACTTTTCTAACTGGAAATCACTGAAACCTAAGCTGTGCTTTCTTAAAGCCCCATAAGCTGAAGACGAGATGTATCAGCAGACGCTCCCTCTACGCCCCCAAACAGAGAGCGCTTCCAGGAACAAACCCACCTCTTCCACTCCTAGATGTATCAGCAGATGCTCCCTCTATGGCCCCAAAACAGAGAGCACTTCCGGGAACAAATCCACCTCTTCCACCCCTAGATGTATCAGCAGACGCTCCCTCTACGCCCCCAAAACAGAGAGTGCTTCCGGGAACAAATCCACCTCTTCCACTCCTAGATGTATCAGCAGATGCTGCCTCTAAGCCCCCAAAAGTCCAGTGCTGCATTCAGTGCCCCGTAAGGACCACTCTCTCTCAGCAGGAAGTAGCCAGAAAGAACACATCACCCCTCGTCCTTTTCAACTACAGGGTCTGGATTGACAGAGCAAGAACATCGCCATCTTGGACAAACACCACCATTTTAAGTTCCCCTTGATTAAAAACCCCCAAAATCCAGCCGCAAAACATCAACCTAATGTCTAATATCAGCGTGACCATAAACCACAAATGACACCTTTGACCAGAAACATGCCGACCCCAAGATAAACTCCCCTCTGACCTGAAACCTTCCAACCCTGCCATAAAACTCCCTCCACCCAAAAACACTCTGAACCTGCGACAAGCTCCCCTTCCTAAATCCTTAAATACCTTTAGTCTGTAAGAGAGAACACTCCAGACCTAAATCGGCCCGAAGCCCCTCTAGGGTTTATTCTCCAACATAAACCTGTTTTTGACTATTGAGCTGCTTTTCATGTTTCTTCTTTCTTCAACTCTTACAGCCAGTGGCCAGGAGTGAGCATTTCTGGGTGTTTCTCTACGGGTCAGTTTCTCTATGGGTCAGTGGAGGCCCTGCCCAGGCTAGAAAAAGATCAACAAAAACCTAATGTCAGGTTAGTGAGGCAGTTGAGTGAAATCCGGACTCACCCAGAAGATGCCACAGTACCACAGGTGATCATCGTCATATCATTACAGCAGGTGAAATCGAGACTCACCCAGGAGAAGACGCCACAGTACCACAGGTGATCATCGTCATATCATTACAGCAGGTGAAATCGAGACTCACCCGGGAGAAGACGCCACAGTACCACAGGTGATCATCGTCATATCATTACAGCAGGTGAAATCGAGACTCACCCGGGAGAAGACGCCACAGTACCACAGGTGATCATCGTCATATCATTACAGCAGATGAAATCGGGACTCACCCGGGAGAAGATGCCACAGTACCACAGGTGATCATCGTCATATCATTACAGCAGGTGAAATCGGGACTCACCCGGGAGAAGACGCCATGGCACCACAGGTGATCATCATCACATCGTTACAGCAGCTGATACCATTGCTTGTCGCAGACCCAGCTACACCACAGGTTCAGACTCTCATCTTGCTGGGAGATGACATATTGAAGCTAAAGATCCCCTTTCCCTCCCTCACATCTCCACCCCTGTCCAAAATCACGTGATTCCTGTTCGGCCGGCTTTTTATACTGCAGGGTTCTGCCAGACAGGAACACGCCTGTCCTGCACCGATCCTGCTGGAGGGCAGCTTGTTCCGAGCCTTCCTCTACAGGAATGCATCCCATCCACGTCTCCTGACAAGCTCAGGACTAGTCTTGTGCTGTCCACCCCCTCAGGCCCTCCACCCTGGCACAGGCAGCTGTGGGCTCCTCTCTGTGACCCTGGCCAGCCCTGACCGGTCCACAGTCGTCCAGGAAACCCCCAGAGACCACGCAGCACTGCCCAGCACCACCTGGATTGGTTATTGTTAGCAATGGCTTCAGGTGGTGAATGACAGGGTCAGCCAAGGAGGAGGCACTCAGGGGGAGGCAGAGCTGCAGCACCCACCCAGGAAGGCTCTGTCTGAGGCCGCCCAGGCTGCACAGGGCAAAGGCAGTGGCAGGAAGCGCCGCCCTCGCTCCCCCCATGACCTAGGGAGACGGCTCATCCCCCTCCTTAGGACAAGGGACCTGGTGCGGGGACCCTGGGGATTCCCTTCCCAAGACCATCCTCCTTTGAGCAAAGCCTGGTGGACCCGGGCGGGAGCTGTTCTAGGTGCTGAAGCACGTGCATCCCACACACCGCAGTCCCTGCCTTCTGGGCTGAGTCTAGAGTCAGCACAGCGCTGGGGGAGCTGCCCCCAGAGACACAGCCGGGGCCACCGCGCCTCCCCTCGGCCCCACAGCAGTCTGGGGTGCACAGTCAGCGGGTAGAGCTGGCAGCCTCCGCCACTGTCCAGCCCTGTACTGGGAACGGGCAGGCACTCCACCAGGCTTGACAGGCACTGTTGGCCCCGCCCAGGTCACATAGCTGGCAAGAGGCTGGGTCTGGGTTCAAATCCAGGTGTGCTGGGTGTAAAGAGAGGCAGAGAGATAGAGAGGGAGACAGAGACAGAGAGATAGAGGAGAGGGAGACAGAGCTAGAGGGAGACAGAGATCCCCAAAGTGCACCACATCTTCTAACAGATGCCGAGGCTCCGGTGACATGTAACTCCCTGCGGAGTGGCCACAGAAACAGATCTGGCTGTGGCTTTCCATGAGAAATTCCAGGGCCCTGTCCAAAAATATGCAGATATTTGGACACAGCCAGAAAATGAGTTGGATTTTCCAAACAAGCAGATGTGGATGCAGCTTCTGTGGCAGCAAAAATAGAAATTCCAGGTGTTGGTTTCAGACAGGGCACTTTACAAGCAGACAGCCCAAGCACCTGTGACCCTAGGCGAAGCTCTACCTCGTAACCAATGCATCCATAGGCGTTGGCTCCTGGGACCTGTGGGTGGGCGTCAGGGATGCTCAGCATGGGGTGTAGCTCTGCTGCAGAACGAGGAGGAGCTTTTCCTGCTCACCAGGGCGTCAGCACCACCAGCTCACGCATCAGGATGGGAGACAACCAAGGGAAAACCAAGGTAGGAACAGGTCGCCTGCGCCCACTGTGTCGGGAAGCTCCAGGTCAGCGACCCCTCTGAGTGTCACACTCGGCCCCACGTGTCCGGGAGGCTGCACCCCAGCCCCTGCTAACCAGGCGTGCCCAGGGAGGCAAGGCTGCTCAGACAGCAGAAAAAAACAGGCGTCCTGAGGCGAGGGCCTGCTAGGCCCCCACTGTGGCCGTGGGACGGAGCCAGCAGCTCTGAGGTGGGGTCACGTGCACAGCTCACAGCTCGGACAGCAGCAGGTGGGGATCCGGCTCCAGCCTGTCTGGGCTGGACGTAGCTGTCGGGAGGACGACAGGAAGCAGGTGCCGCCCGCAGAAGAGAGGTGCGTTTAAGAAACCAGAGCCGCCGAGTCAGCCCCTGAGTGGCAGGTGCACGATCCCACAGGCCTCCAAGCTCAGGGGCCTAAAACCTGGGACTTGGTTGATTTTCCTGTAACTAGACCTAGTTTCCGTGGCAGATGCCCAGGCAGCCAGAAAAGAAGGCAGGGCGGGCGGCCCCCAAGTCGCTCCACTCACCCACCCTTGTGCCAGTGCCCACCCTTCTCCCAAAATTAACCCAAGTCTGGAGGGTTCAGGTGGCAGCATCTTTGAGCAGAGAGTGGGGGACGGGACAGGGTCCTCTTTGAACTTCACCCCATCCCCTGCAGGTGTGGCCTGAGGCGTTTGCATGGAGGAGGTGTGGACTGGTGTCCTGGGCAGGTCCCACCACGGTCCAGGAGGGGCGGCCCGGAAGACTCAGCTTCAGCTCACAGGCCGCACATGGCTGCACACAGAGACCTGCCGATGCCACAGGCCACGTGCACCTGGAAAAGTCTGACTCAAGCCACCTGTGGGGCCGCAGGGGTCCCATGGTCCCTGGGCGGGGATGTGGGGCCACCGGCCTGAGAAACACCCCCCAGTGCCTGACAGGCACGGAGAGCTGGGGCCTCATCAGGGCCACAGGAGCTTCAGGGAAAGAGGCCTCGGTGGTGAGGCTGTGGGCCCGGCAGGACCAACCCCGAGCTGGGTGCCCAGCGAGTGTGGCCGCCTGTGCCCATGCTCCGCCTGTGCTCCACTCCCTCAGTTATTCCCCCGCTGTGGGTGAGGTCGTGGGATCCAGGGTTGGATGGCAAGTGGATGGGGCCCACTCAACGCCTGTCCTCCAGAACACCCGGCCCTTGTGGGACCTACTCGGGGCCGTGGGGCCTTGGCACGGGCTCTTGCCCTGGGCAGCTCACAGTGTCCTCACCGGTGACCCGCAGAGCCGCCCAACACTGCCATCCAGGGATCCCAGAAACCACTCTCCACCAGCCCCACCCAAAGGGGCGGAGACCCTCACAGCTTCCACAGGAGAAGGTGCGGGGCCCGACGCCCCAGGAAGGCTGATGGGGCTCCCACGACAGCGAGGCCCTGAGCAGAAGCTAAGCAGGGCGCAAGGAAGGCGGCCGAGACCTCACCCTCCAGCACTTAGAGGAATGGAGAAAACGGGCTCAGTCCAGACCAAAGACTTCTGTGTGTGGTGTGTATAGTATGTGTGGTGTGTGTGGTGTTGTAGTATGTGTGGTGTGTGGTTTGTGTAGTGTATGTGGTGTGCATTGTGTAGTGTGTGTGTCATATATGTGGTGTGTGTAGTGTATTGTGTGGAGTGTGTGTTGTGTGCTGTGTGTGGTGTATGTGGTGTGTGTGGAGTGTGTGGTGTGTGGTGTGTTGTGTGTGCAATGTGTGTCATGTGTGGTGTGTGTTGTGTATTGTGTGGAGTGTGTGGTGTGTGGTGTGTGTGATGTGCATTGTGTGGTGTGTGTCGTGTGTTGTGTGCAGTGTGTGTGGTGTGAGTAGTGTATTGTGTGGAGTGTGTGTTGTATATTGTGTCTTGTGTGTGGTGTGCGTTGTGTGGTGTATGTGGTGTGCATTGTGTGTTGTGTGTGTCGTGTGTGTTGTAGGTGGTGTGTGTAGTGTATTGTGTGGAGCGTGTATTGTGTATTGTGTGTTGTGTGTGGTGTGTGGTGTGTGTAGTGTGTGTGGTGTCGTGTGTGTAGTGTATGTGGTGTGTATTGTGTGGTGTGTGTGTCATGTGTGGTGTGTGTGTCATATGTGTGGTGTGTGTTGTGTATAGTGTGTGTGGTGTGTGGTATATGTGGTGTGTATTGTGTGGTGTGTGTCATTTGTGTGTTGTGTGGTGTGTGTGTCATGTGTGTTGTGTGTGTGTGGTGTGTGGCATGCATGTGTTTTGTACTGTGTGGAGTGTGTCGTGTGTGTCTGTGCATGTGCACATACGTGGGGCACAGGAGAATTGCCAGTTAACACTGTTTTATGCCCTTCCCTTTCCCATCCCTGTGGGACCTATGGGACTGTGCCAGGTTACAGAGCTCTTCCTGAAATAAATGATTCATATGTCTGTTTGGGTGAGGAGGAAACAGTAACTCATTCAGCAGTGGAAAAATACCTAAAGCTGATGTGATTTGGGGCATTCTTCAGATGTCACCGGAGACTAACATGATAATGGGTAGGGATAATGGCGAAGCCATTCCTAATGATCAGATTTCATCCCTTAAGTGAACAGAGTGAAATCTTTATAAATGAAATGATGCCACGTCTGGCATTTGCTTCTAAACAACATAGGAAGAGAAGAAGCAGGCGGGGGGTGAACAGGACAAGTGATGGAGTTGGGTGGGGGGCAAGGAGGGTTCATTGCGATTTTCTTCACCCTTGTATGTGCTTAAAGTTTTCTATGGTAAAAATTTAAAATAAAAATAAATTGAGAAAAAAGTGTTCACGTGTATCTGGAAGCACTGGAAATACACTCGTTCTCTCTGTAGCTGACGTTGACAGCCTGCCTTGCTGCCTTTTGAAATAACTTGAATGTTCTGACATCTATGCACTTAAAACCAGTGTATAACAATGACCACCGCTTTCTCGAAACCTGTCATGAACAAGACATTCTCATGTGCATTGGCTCAAATGTTCCCAGCCACCATGCAAATGAAGAAACTGAGGCTGAAATGCTTCAGTAAGTTTCCTACGATCACGCAGCACTCACGGACAGCCAGGTTCCAGCTACCACAAGTATTAAATTAATGTGAGATTGTGAAATATGGGTTCACCATACAACATCAGCCCAGAAGAATGCCTCTCCTGAAAAGGCAGAAATGAGCTTGCACAGGCATCACAGACAACCCCTCAGAGGTTCTGGTCTGGGGCATCCGGGTGCCTTCCTCACCCCAGTGAGGGAAGCCCGTGGACAGGTGAACACCACACGGCTCTGGCAGTGGCCGTCACTCTTGGGTCTTTATCCTGTCATTCCAGTACCCATGTGTTTTTACCGAAGCCATAGAAATGGTCCCCATGCATCCAGATTGTAAAGGAAGAAGCAAAAGTGTTTCTATTTGACATGCTCCAGTAGATTAAAAAATCCTGAGGAATCCATTTTTTAAAGAACTACTAGAACAAAGAAATGAGTTCCACAGGGTTGCAGATATTAGATCAACATACAAAGTCAACAGTATTTCTAAACACTTGCAATGGACAACCCAGAAGTTAAATTAAGAAAACAATTCCACTCAAAATAGCCTCAAAAAGAATAAAGTACCTAAGAATAAATTTAATTTGGTAAGTACTTCATTTGATAAATACTGAAAAATAAGTAAATTTGATACAAAACTTATACTCTAAGAACTACAAAACATTGTTTTAAAAACTAAAGAAGGTCTAAATAACTGGGAAAACATTCCATGTTCATGGATTGGGATACTTAATATTAAGATGGTAACACTCCCTACACTGAGCTACAGATTCAGCACATCCCTACCAGAATCCCAGCTGGCTTCCTTGTAGAAATTGACCAGTTGATTCTAAAATTCATATGGAATTGCAAGGGATTCAGAATTGCCAACGTAATCCTGAAAAAGAACAAGGCTGGAAGACTCACAAGCCCTTATTTCAAACTCACTCTAAAGCTACAGTAATCAAGACTGTGGTACCGGCACAAGCAAAGACATATAGATTAAAAGAATAGAATTAAAAGTCCACAAATAAACCATATATGTATGGCCAATTAATTTTCAACAAGGGTGCCAAGACCATTCAATGAGAAAAGAACAGTCTTTTCAGCAAATGGTGCTTGGACAACTGGATGTCCGTAAATGCATGAACATGGGTCCCTACCTCACACCATGAAGAAAGTTAACTCAAGGTGGATCACAGAACCAGATGGAAGAGTTAAAACTATAATAACTCCTACCTCATACCATACGCAAAAGTTAACTCAAAGTGGATCACAGACCCAGATGGAAGAGTTAAAACTACAAAACTCTTCTAGAAAAATCTAGGGGTAAATCTTCATGTCCTTAGATTTGTAAAACATTCTTAGATATGACACCAAAAGCATGAACAACAAAAGAAAAAATAAATTAGAGTTCATCAAAATTAAAAACTTTTGTGCCTCAAAGGACACCATTAAGAAAGTGAAACGGCAATGTACAGAATGTGAGGAAATATTTGCAAATCACATATCTGAGAAGCGATTTGTATCTAGAATACATAAATGACTCTGATGACTCAACAGGAAAAGGCAGCCCAATGTAAAAATG
Source organism: Homo sapiens (assembly GCF_000001405.40). Classification (NCBI taxonomy): domain Eukaryota; kingdom Metazoa; phylum Chordata; class Mammalia; order Primates; family Hominidae; genus Homo; species Homo sapiens. The sequence continues at coordinate 113,772,173 of NC_000013.11, read as the reverse complement.
AGCAAAGGAAATGAACAGACATTTCTCCAAGAACATATGCAAACGGCCAATAGGCACATGAAGAGATGCTCGACATCACTAATCATCAGGGAAATGCAATCAAAACCACAATGAGATACCACTTATCACACATTAGATGGCTAGAATCAAACAGTCAGTGACAAGTGCTGGTGAGGGAGTGGAGAAACAGGAGCCCTCATGCCTGTCTGTGGGAATGTAACATGGGGCAGCCACTTTGGAAAACAGTCTGGCAGTTCCTCAAATGATTAAACAGCATTACTGTATGACCCAGCAATTCCACTCCTAGGTACATGCCCAAAAGAAATGTAAATGCATTTTCACACAGAAACCTATGTACAAATGTTCACAGCAGCATTATTCACAACAGCCAAAGTCTGTAAACAGCTGTAATGTCCATCAACTGGTGTATGGATAAGTGTGGCCCATCCATACAGTGGATTATTATTATTATTATCATTGTTATTATTATTATTTGAGACAGAGTCTTGCTCAGTCACCCAGGCTGGAGTGCAATGGCTCAATCTCGGCTCACCGCAACCTCTGCCTCCCAGGTTCAAGTGATTCTCCTGCCTCAGCCTCCTGAGTAGCTGGGATTATAGGCATGTGCCACCATGCCCAGCTAATTTTGTATTTTTAGTACAGACAGGATTTCACCATGTTGGTCAGGCTGGTCTTGAACTCCTGAACTCGTGATCCGCCCACCTTGGCCTCCCAAAGTGCTAGGATTACAGGCATGAGCCACCGTGTCCGGCCCATATAGTGGATTATTATTCAGCCATAGAAAGCAAGGAAATTTGGAGGAAGCTTAAAGACACCATGCGCAGTGCCAGACACCAGACACAGAGACCGCACATAACACGTTACTGCCTCCACACACAAGCCCAGAGTAGGAATCTACAGAGAACACATATCACACATTACTCCCTCCGCAGGCAGGCCCAGAGTAGGAATCTACAGAGACAGGAAGTTGATTCCTGGTTGCTTAGGCTGGGTAGGTAGGGTGCTAAGAGAAGGGTGTGGGTTTCTTGCTGATGTGATTCATGTTTTAACACTGGCTGTGCTGATGGTTCACATATCTGGGAATACACTAAAAACCATTGAATTGTGTGCTTTAAATGGGTGAGTTATATGGAATGTGGACTATATCTCATTAAAGCCATTTTTTTAAAAGGAAAGAAAAACAGACCCACACTGTCCACCCATCCTGTGCATCGCCAAAGCCCAGCTTCACACCCAGCTTCTGCCTCTTTGGGGAAATCTTATGGAAAAGTCTTCAGGAGGCCTTCCCTCCTCAGGCCCACCCAACTCCCTACAGGCACCAAGCAGCTCCAGACTCTGAAGAGATGCTGTCTAGAGACCATCATGGGGGCATGCTGGCTCCCAAAGGTGGCGTCTGTTTCCAACACCATTCTGTGACTGGTGTGTGTGAGGCCTTTGCCCACCCTGGTCAGCTGTGACGCCCACCCTCGGGAGCCAACAACAGGGGGTGGGTGGGAGAGGAAATGCCGGGCCTATCTCTCCGTCTCTTTGCAACTGCTAGCCAAGAACGGCAGCTCACCCTGCAGTGCACACTGTCTCTACTATGCAGAACAGAACGCTTTGCTCCACCAGAATCCCAGTGTCTTTGCAGCCACCCCCAACCCTCCAGGGACCTCCCACCCTCACACGGTCAGGCTCCATCTGCCCAAGGGTCAGTCTCCTGGGCAGCAGTGGGAGTTTGCTGGGTCCCATGCGGGGTGATATGGTTTGGCTGTGTCCTCACCCAAATCTCATCTTGGATCCTCATGTGTTGTGGGAGGGACCTGGTGGAAGGCAGTTGAATCATGGGGGGCAGATCTTTCCTGTGCTGTTCTCATGATAGTGAGTAAGTCTCACAAGATCTGATGGTTATTACAAGGGGGAGTTTCCCTGCACAGGCTCTGTCTTTGCCTGCTGCCATCCACGTAAGACAGGACTTGCTCCTCCTTACCTTCCGCCGTGATCGTGAGGCTTCCCCAGCCACGTGGAACTGTGAGTTCAATTAAACCTCTTTCTTTTGTAAACTGCCCAGTCTTGGGTACGTCTTTATCAGCAGTGTGAAAACAGACTAACATACAGGGTTCCGAGGGCATACACCGCGGCCCAGCCATCTCACCCTCCCTCTCGGCCTGGGAACTGGGAACAGGCAGGGGTTGGGGGCCCGACACAGGTCATTTGCACGCTGGATGATACAGTAACATGACAGCCGGTGCAGGGAAGAGCTGAGAACTCCAGCCTGCTCTGAAGCAACAACTGGGAGATGAGGCAGAAATGGCCCAACCACCTCCCCTCTAAACCCTGCTCTTAAAATTCAATCCTGGCTGCCACCGTGAACTGACAAAATTAGCCAGTTTTTGTTTTTAAAGTTATAGTCCCCAAAACAGTGCATCAACAAAACAGACTTCCAGCTGAACCTGATCGCTGTTGCCGCGCATACAGCCACGAACATCATGGACAGGCAGTGTCTGGATTTCACTCTGCATTGCTGCCATGTGAACCGGGGGCTCCCTCCTGGTTTTATGTCTTTACCTCTCCTCTTAGTCTGGGCAAGATAAACATTAACCAAACTCAGACGAAAAACAAGACTCTAGAGCCACTGGTTCAAAAGGAAGAGAGGCTTATGCACATGTTTTTGCCTGAACTTTACACACTAGGACTTAATTTAATTTGCCACCCCCGTCCCAAACTTCATGCATTCTCTGAGCTTCCCAGGCCTCAGCATTGGTGGTTGCACACCACGTGAGGTTGATACACCAGCAACCCAGGGCCATGCTCGCTTAGACTAAGGTGTGAATGGTACTCGCTGAACCCTGTATCCAGGACTGTGCAGGCCACAGCCCGGGAACCTCAGAGCTGGTCCTGTAGACACCAGTGTGCTGGGGAGGCAGGGCTGACTCTTCTCAGAGCCCCAGTGCAGCTGTACCATCCCCTGATGAGGGACTCATGCTCCCCACCACCCCATGTACTTTCTTACCATTTGCCTTCTATTCTCCACCAAGTTGATGCCAATAATTCCTAAGAAAGATCCAAAGCCGAGCTAAAACCAAAGGAAGAACGAGAGAGAAACACTCATTAACGTGCCTAGAAGCTTAACACTGACATTTAAAGCAAATAATCCCGCCCTCAAAGGCATTTTATCCAGGGACGAAGGCCAGACATCCCTACCTCAAGAACCTCAACCACTGAGCAGCAGGTGCGTCTGCTGGCGTTGGGCAGGCATCTCTGCAACATCACCTGTCCTGTCTTCTCTGCTCAGAGGTTTTTAATGATGCATCTGTTTGGCTTGTGACTCTGGGGTAAGAGAAGTTCCCACTCCTCCCCCAGAGACAACATCTTTTCGGGAACCCAGGGCCACCAAGCACCACCATCTGTCCCGTCTTCTCCAGGCCTGAGATGCCCCTGAGCATGGCTCCTGGGTAAGGTATTAGGGAACTACAGCCGTGTTTCAAAAGAAGGGTTGCCAGGCACAAGGGCCACCAGTGACCCCTGCTCAGACGGCCTAACTCTGGTTGCTGCTTCGGGAGAGTGAGCAGGGCAGACCGTTAGCAGGGAGGTGCCAGGTGTGGGGAAAGGGCACCTGAGCCAGGCACAGAGGGGGCACCTGGGCCAGGCACAGAGGGGGCCCCGGGCTGCAGCACAGGCCACCAGGGGTCCGGCAGAGCCCCCTTACTCCACAGGAAGCCCCAGCTCTGGGCAGAAAATGATACTGGGATGTCGGGAAATAGACATGGGACTGTGCTGTCTTAGAACAGAGGCCACCGGCCGGGCATCCGCACCCTCCACCCAGGGCCCGTCCTGGCAGGTGACGCCCACCTGGCAGAGGAATTTTTAAAATCAGTGTGAAGAACATGCATTTCAGCAACACCCACCGAAAATCTGGCTCAGAGCAGCCAACATGGACCTGCCAACGACCGTGCCGAGGCCTAAGACGGCTCTTGCTCCCACGCAGGTGCGCCGGGCCGGTCGCACTTCCCAGTGAGTGTCTGTTGGAAGGGGTGGCCCGCCCGGCACAGCCTTGGAGTTGCTGGGGCCGTGGTGTCAAGTTTAATGCACTGGAAACCGGACTTCTTTATGTAAATAGTTTTGCCTTTTCTGTAATTGTCTGTGTGTCTGTGGTGATAGACACGTACACATGTGGCTTTCACCAACGGTTTGAGAATTCTCCAGGGATAACAGGAATATTTCTTCATGTGCTGAGCTTCAAAATACTGCAGTTCAACTCCACACGTCAAAAATATCAAAATTTCACTTCGATATACATGTATTAAAATACATCTGTTACACTACGTTTTATTTTTTGGGGATTTGAAAAAAACCACACCTTTCTTGAAAATGTGGAGATGTTTTCACGTTCTGGCCGCTTCTTCTGAGATCAGCTTCTTAAGTCTCTACATTGGCAGAAAGTCTCCACAGAAGTGACTCTTAGCCACGTTTCCTTGAAGCTGCTTTTATTTGTTGTCTCCCTAGTTTGCTTTCAGAACTGTCTGTACTACAGGCCATTTCAATCTGGTCAGCACAGCATTAATTCATTGCCCAGAAGGTAGATTCTTTACAGAGCATAGCTTGGGCATTAGCCATTGATGTTTTTCATTATGTTATTCTGAGGCAGCTCTTAAATAAGCTTGAGGACAAACCAAAAAAAACAACCACTCAAGGCTGATCTTGATGTTTCGCAAATCACTTGGAGGTCCCTCCTCACAGCCACTTGCCCTCTGGGCTCCCCTTTCTGCCCAGGAAGCAGAAAAGCCCCTCACATGAGGCCAAGGTCCCCACACCATTGGCCTCTTGCAATTTTACTGATAAAGCTTTTTCTGCATAGATACTATTTGTATATGTTTATTCATAAACTATACACAGGTAGATAGTGTAGATGTCTAAGGCACACCCTAAGATATAAACAAAGGAAAATATAATGGTGAAATAAACAGTATTTGTAAAATATTTCTAAATACTTAGGGCCAAAAATCTTTCATCTTTGCTGATTGTCATCAATATTATTACCAATCTTGGTAGTACTTTAGGTGAGAGTAATGAGATTGAAGAAGCCGCATTTTAAAATCTTGCTTTAGCACTTTATGACGTAGCAACCAGGCTCTGGGGCATGTGAAGGGCATCGCAGCTGATCCAAGCCATTCCAACAGAGGTTCACTGTGCAGAATGCAGGCACTTAGGAGAATTCTTTTACTAACGACAGAGGATGTAATTTCATAGTTCAAAAAACCTTGATACTTTTGAATCTGGGTGACCAATTCTTGCCAATTAGGTTACCATCAATTTACCTCGCCGCCTTACTGTTCAAAATCTGGCCTGACGGGTGGATGAGGTCAGCACCACCACCTTCTGGCCGTTCCCACGCGATCACGTCACTAATACGATCTTTGACCCACGGCTTCTTGGTAGGAATCGTTTAAAGTTACTTTCCCCTTCCATGGGCTATGGTGGTCGACCTGGTCCCTCAGGGTAAAATCCTTCCAGGATGCTTGGGGAGGCTCTGTCCGGCCTTTTTGGACATCCTGGGCTCCTGGCCCCTCCTCCACCTTGGACATTTCCTGTTGCCGGGCTCTGGCCCCCCTCCTGCCCTCTGGTCACCCTGTGACCACATCGGGCCAACCCAGACAATGGAGGGCACCTGGCCCTATTTTGAGATCAACTTGGACCTCAACCCCAATTCCCCTCTGCCTTGGACCTGCCACTGTCCCAGGTCCTGGGGATTGGGAAGTGCATGTCTGTGGGGGCCATAACCCTGCCGACCACAAGCACTGATCGAAGCCTCCCCACCTTCAGCCCCAGCCCTGTGAGCTGGCGTGGACTCCACCCTGAGAGAGCCACACACCACCCTGCCCTCCCCGGCCCAGGCCGCCCGCCCGGCGCACTCACAATGATCCCTGGGTAGTAGCCCCCAACGGTCACATTCTCCGTCCTGGTGGTGGCAGCCAGCCCGACGGTGACTATGAGGACGGACACCAGCAGCAGAGACCCCACAAACCAGAGCGACGTCTTCTTCCTCCTCGAAAGCCCTTCTGTGGGGAGGAAGGCGAGGACCTGTCAGTGAGGGCTCAGGCTCAGGAGGGCGTCAGGCCAGCAGGCTCTGGGCCGTGCTCCGTTACCCAGGGGTCCTGGGATGCACTATCCCCGCCTGCCTCCAGGCCCACCTCAGGGGACCACCCCCAACCTCCATTAGATAACAGAATAAAATCTCTGGACCATAAGCCACTATACTGGATAGCCTGGTATTTGCGGCCAAACCTAATTCTAACTGTCACAGAACTCAAGAAAGCAAACTAGAAAGGACTCCTTCCTATTGGCTGCCTCTTCCTCTATCTGACTTTCTCCCCCTGGTGTCCCCAGGAGGACAGGAGCATCTTTTGTTTACTGTTTTATCATTACCATTCGCTCACAGACACACCCTCTCTATCCGCCTATCCCAGCCACACCCAGTGGGGGAGGGGGCTGCCACCAGGGGAGGGGCAGGGAGAGAGGAACGCACACAGCAGCCATCCAGCTGTGCCATCTGTTTTGCTTTATTTTTTGAAAACTGAATCATCTTGATCCCTGTGTGACTCCAAACAAAATAGGGGATTTAAAAAACCATGGTAAGGTCTTCCTACTCCAAGAGTTTGAAAATCAACATTTGTGTGTGTGCACATGTGTAAGTGCGTGTGTGCAGGGAAAGCAGACCGCACACTGGAGAGCCGCTGGCAGCGATGACGGCCGTGCAGACATTGTCCACACCCTAGAAGGTCCGCATCTGAAGATTTACACTTCTGCAATCCCATCAGCAGAGCTCAATGGCAAGGCAAGGTTATCGCACCCAAGGAAGGGATTGTTACATCCTCAGAAATGAGTTTCACAAAACTATAAATCAATGTGCAGATGCAGAATTGCTCTGCTGATCTGAGAGAGTCATTTTTATCCAGCTGACCCAGCAAGGGCGTGGCCTTGGTCACGGCCTTCCTTCAAGGCCCTCTTGGACTCAGCACAGCCCCCGGCACAGCACCCTGCCTGCCTCTTGACCCTTGCAAAGATACACTTGTCCCAAGAATCTCATCCTAAATCGCTTTTTACCTTCCACCTTGGAGGGGACCAGATCACTCCATTCGCCAATGTAATAAACCATCGGCTCCCACCAGCCAGCCAGGCTGCCCCCGTCTTGGACCCACTGCACCGAGGCGGCCAGTGGCACTGTCCTTAGTGTTATACTCCAGGCCGCAGGCAGTGGTTTCAGCCTCTCCCTGGTTGCCCCATCTCCTGCCTCCTTAGAGGCAGGCTTGTTGCAGCATCCACAGGGCCTTTGTACCTGCTGTCTCCAGCTAGACACTCGCAGCACTCCCTGAAGGCCTCTCTTACATGTTGCTGCATAGACACACTGAGTATAGTAGCCACACTCACCCCTGTGCTCTCCACAGTTGCCCCTTCACCCCTGCCCCTGCAGAGCATCCTCGCATGTGAGAGGCAGAGGGGACACCAGACAGACAGAGGCACACGCTGCAGGCATTGGAAAAGGCCAAGTTCAGTGGAGAAAACTTAAGCAGGGCTGGGGACAGGGCGCTCCGGATGTGTCACCCACAGGCAGCGGGCAGAGGGCAGAGCCTTCCCTGAGGGGCCTGGTGATGGCACAGTGCACCCCTCAGCCCAGCACCACTGGTGTGGAGTGAGGCCCTCCTTCTGAAAGCCACCCTCCTGAGACACCAGAGGCCGCAGCCCGGTGCGGGCCAGGGAGCAATCCCCACACCCAGCCTCAGGAACACGCCCTGGGGTTCGGGGTCCCTGCAGCCAGGGCCACACCTGCGCCCTCCGGGTCCCCAAGGCAGCTTCTGCAGGGGTCACACTGAATAAACCTAGAGGGGTGACAAGCAGGTGGGTGCAGGGGCGGGCACAGCACCAGGAGCCCCAAGGCCACACTGGCGGCCCAGGACCTGGCACCTACACATCCATCACCCAGTGTCTGTTAAAGTCATGCTCCCCCAGCCCCAACCCGTGTCCCCGTGTCCCACGCCCACGCCCCGGCCCATCCCACCCCAGGCCACACCTGCCTTCCTGTGTGCATGGAGCACGTCCTTTCTTGTCTTTGGATGGGGAGGACACTCCCCTCAAGTGACCGAGGCCCAGGCACCCGACACCTGCCCTGCATGAGGGGATGGGCGCTGCACCTGCCAGCCGGAACACACGGCCCAAGGCCTCCTCCAGCTCCGCCTCTCAGTCCCTCGCTTCTCAGCCTCAGGCTTCCTTCCTCCTCCCCACCTCTAACTCGCACAGTTCTTCCCTGTGTCTCTCATGGTATTTCTGAACTAAAAGCCAACCCTCGTTGGACTGGAAAAGGTTGGGAAGATGATAACGACATTCTTACAAGGAAAAGGGAGACAGTGGGTATATGTTGGAAAGTGTGATTTTTACGCTGCTCAGAAGAGCAGAGTGATTTTTTGTAGAACACTCATAAAGTACTGAAAAATGCAAAAGGGAAAATAAAATTCATGGTAACCTAAATTAACAAGTAGGCATAAAATCTTATGGTCTTTTTTCAATGCACTATGTACTTTTTAAAACATTTTTTTCTTAAATTAGGACCACAATGCTTTATAGTAATTTTTTCACTGAAATCTTGCAATTTGTTAAAAACCTGAAAGGTTATATGTTCACGGTCGTTTGCCCGAGAGACAGGAGCGATGGCGACAGATCCCGGGTCTCTGTCGGGAAGTCGAGGTGAGAAACGGCAAACCCACGCTGGGAGCAAGTGGGCAAGAGGAAGGCAGGCACCTCCCGTGGGTGAAACTCCGTTCTGGTTGATTCGTTTTAGAAAGGTAGGTAAACTTTTTAAAAATGGACACAAAATTTAAAAATATATGCAATTCCACATTTTGGAAGTTAATGAAACAGCTATTGTGGAATTACACAAAATAATCATATTGATGATAATAACACCATCTATGGATTGGGCTGTGTGTCGATTTTCAGAGCAGCCTAACTTCCTTATCTCATTTGATCATGACCAGAGGCTCCAGGTCACCCTCACCAGCCTCCATGTAACACCTGCCAATGCAGCCAAATGCTAGGTGCCTTCAACTCACACAATTCCCGCTTCAGCCTTTCCTGCTTTTCCTTAGGCTCCCATTCCAATCTTTTGACTGTTTAAATGTATTTTAAGAGCAATACAATTTCTAAAACTAAATTTTATGGGACTAAGTATTTGAGAAAATTATCAGACAAACGCTGTCCTTCTCAAAGGATTTTGTTGTGCGATTTTTCTTAATTAAATGCACTGCATGCATATAATATTATGCTCAAAATAGTTAACCAGATGACTCAGCGTCTGCTTCGACCCACAGGTAGAACCTTCCGTGGGGCTCCTGTCCCAGCCTCCTGTGGGCGTCCGTCTGTCAGGAACCCTGTGACTGGATTCTGGTTCTTAAAGCTGGAAGCTCTGCTCGGTTCCTTGGCATGAAGAGTGGGGGCCCAGCAAGACCCACTGGGCTAACTGACCTTGTCAAGTCAATCGGTAACATGCTGACTTGTTAATTACTATGCGAAGAGTTAGACACATCTCCTCTGAAACCACGTAAATCCTCCTACAAACCATTTTCAACCTAACTTTGCTATGTTTACCCCTCTTTCCTGAGTCTAACTTCCCCCCCATCTGCTACAAAATAAAAAGCAGAAGGTATGAGCCACCCTTTTATCAGCATTCCTATCACAGATTCCTAGATTATACAAGTCTAGAAAGACAGTAGAACTTACATGGGGCACTGGGAGCAATGGTTGCAAATCATCTCATTCAATTACACAATGGTGATATTTTGACTCCAGATATAATAGAGATAACAAAAAGAAGACTCCCAACCTTAAACACATTCTATAAATACATGACACAGCATAAAAATGAGAAAAAAAATAAACTCAAGAAAAGAAGGTGGGATATCTTTATAATTAGCATAAGAGATAATTATAAGGTCAGATTTTCAAGAGAAAGGGGCTTTCACTTAGGAGAAAGATAATTAAAATCACCTGAATAATTTCCTTGATTTTTTTTTTTTTCCTGTCCCGGAAATACTGTTATTACACGCACTGTGAAAATTAAAGTGCTCCTAAGTGCCCCAACTATTAATTAAAATATCTACCAATAGGTTTCTATTGCAGAGGCAGCTTACAGGGACTGGACCCAAACCATTCTGGGTCTGTCCAGACCCATTGTGTGGTCTTGGGCGGCCATTTAATCTCCCTGAGCCTGGGAGAAGAGAACCCTATGAGAGCCAAGAGCTCTGTCTCTTGTTTGTCGCCGGTTCCCGGGGCTCAGATGAGGACATAGACACATCTCCTGGTACGGAATGAATGAAGGCACTTCAGTCTCCTGACCTGTAGGATGGAAATCATGAGAACCACCTGCTCACCCACCTCTTGAGATTGTGATAAGCGTCCAGTGAGACACGATACGTGGGCTCTCATATAGGTTTTTGTAAATGGAATGCATATGCTAATCATCAGGGTGGTGTGAACTTTAAGACGGCGTAGCGGCTATTCTTAACCAGCATTTCTCCCACTGGAGTTGCAAGGAGGAGTTCTGAGATGTGAAGCTGAAGGGGCCAACAGCTACCTCTCTGCTATCAAGTGCGCTGATTTTTCTAATTCTAGTCTTCCCCAGGTGCAGCCCATCTAGGATATCTCAGAATATCACCTTGTCACTCCCCACCAGCCCCCACTTCTCCCATCCCACCTGCTCTCCCCTTCCTGGCTCCTTCCCCAGCCTTAGCTGGAGGAGCTGAACCACATGAGCCTGTGCCCACGCCAGGTCCTACCTGGAAGACACGCGAGGCTGGAGGTCAGGTTCTTCCTGCCCCTCAGACCCATTTCCTCTACTCCACAGAGCCAGGAAGGGGAATGTCACAAAGCATGGGAGGTGGCACTGCTTGGAAGGGTTCTAAGATCCGGCCTTCCTGCCAGCCGGACCTGGAACGCCCAAAAAGAAGAGTGAGTTCCATTTAATCATGTGGGGACACCAGTCATGGTGTCCAAGTAACAATCCCAGGTAAAACTGTAATCACTCAGCCGTCAATTCCTCTTTCGTCCTGATTTTACACATGCCCAGGGTAGTGAACAAAGAAGGGCAAAGCAGAAAAACCCATAATCCTACCCCCAGGTACCCCAAAGCAGAAAGACTATGGTCCACCCCCAGATACCCCAAAGCAGAAAAACCCACAATCTACCTCCAGACACACCAAAGCAGAAAGACCATAACCCACCCCCAGACACACCAAAGCAGAAAGACCATAATCCACCCCCAGGCACACCAAAGCAGAAAGACCATAATCCACCCCCAGATACCCCAAAGCAGAAAGACCATAACCCACCCCCGATACCCCAAAGCAGAAAGACCATAATCCACCCCCAGACACACCAAAGCAGAAAGACCATAATCCACCCCCAGATACCCCAAAGCAGAAAGACCATAATCCACCCCCAGATACCCCAAAGCAGAAAGACCATAACCCACCCCCAGATACCCCAAAGCAGAAAGACCATAATCCACCCCGACACACCAAAGCAGAAAGACCATAATCCAACCCCAGACACACCAATGCTTTATACATTTTAGTAAAAGACCAGCTCCAAACAAAAAGACCCATAATCCTACCCAGATACACCAATGTTTCATATACTAAAAAGACCAGCTCCAAGTATTGTTTTAAGGTTTAAAGTTCTTTGTCAGAAGAAAATCTAAGTCAGATGCTATTTTTAAACATTAAGGCATTCTAATAATGATAAAACTAGTTAATAAATAATAATAATAGTTATCATTATTAAACACCAATAGACTAATCCACATTAATACATTTGACCATAGAGCATTTTGCTTTAGATTGGAAGGCATATAGTGGTTTCTTTTAGAAAGAAGCCAAATTATTTGATTATTTTAAGTAACAGTAATTCGTCCGGTTCCGAACGATGCCGCAGTAAAAGGGTTGTGAGGTTAATCCCCAGAAGTTTGTGTTGGATTATTTCTGAGGGAGCGGCAGAGCCCCCTAGACACCACTCCATCCCTCCCTCCAGCCGTCAGGGCTTCACTTTCTAGGGAACTCTGTTTCTCTTTTGTTCTGAAATCTGCCCAGCCCTCTCCCCCTCAGGAAGACACCCGGCATCCTTCCAGTCCTGGCCACTTCCCGGCAGAGCCCCCGAGCCCGGCTTGCGAACTGGTGAACACGCAACAGGTTTCCTGTTTTCCCAGCCTTTGCCTGGCTCCGAGGCTGCAGCGGGCTTGGTCTGGGAAGTGGAAGAATTGGAGATTCCGTGAACACACCGGGGAGAAACACGAGAGAGGGGCGAGCCGAAACCAAGCAACACTGTCCAGTTCTGTGAGCGCCTCTGCACGTTCAAACAGGAAAAGGCTACCTCGCTCTTCCAAACGAAGTTTTCCCGGAAAATGGTGTAGGTTGGAATAAACGGAAGAGATGGGGAAGGAGCGCACTTTGGGGCGCCTGTTCCTCATAATAAAACGTAACAGGGAGAGAGAGGCCAAGAGGAACGGACACAGAGTCAGAGAAAGGCAAAGACTGAGGAGGCAGAGACAGAAAGAGCGAGAGAGACAGAGACAGAGACAGAGAGAGAGACAGGGAGAGAGAATGAATGAACGAACCGGTAGGACGAACGCCCGACCCCAGTGCGAAATGCAAAGTGTTCCAAAGACAGAGCTCGAAGGAGGCGGAGGGACCAGACCCCGTGCCGCGTCTCCGCGCAGGTTCCGCCCGGGCCGGCCGGGGACCTGTAGTCCCAGCCCCGGGGTCCCCACGCTCCCCCGCAGGAGCCGAGACGAGCCCCCAGCCCCGCGCTCACCTGCGGGGTCCAGCAGGCCCAGGGGCCCGGGCACCGGCGGCTGCATCCCGAGGCCCCACCCGGCTCTCCCGGGGCCACAGCCACAGTCCCGCCGCCAGGAGCCGCCCTCGCGGCGCCGCCCCTTCCCCGCCCCCTGCACCTCCCCGCGCTCCGCCCGCCTCGCGTCCTTCCTCGCTCTACTCTCCCTTCTCCGGCGTTTCTTCTCCTCCCTCCCCCGCTGCGCCCGCTCCCCCTTCTCCCCTCCAGCGGCCGCCTGGTTTCTGGAAATCAGGACGCCGCGGCCGGGAGTGGAAGCCAGACCCCAGATGGAAGGTGCCTGGAGAGGACCCTGCGGACTCGGGGTCGGAGCCCCGGCCTGGGACGGTGACCCCGGGCCTTCCGCCGCTGGCGCCACGCTCAGCCCTTGGCGGTGCCGCTGAGTGGGTCACCACGGGTTCGCCTCCCCATTGGCCGGTGACGGAGCTCCTTGGGGCTACAGGGCCAGCCAGCCCTTGATCTCTGGGTTCAGAGGGTGGTACATGGTGTTACAACCCAGTCTGCGAGGAACGAGTAAATGAGGAACAAACGCAAATGAGTAAATGAGGAACAAACGCATCTGGCACCTCACTCAGCAGCCCCGAGGCAGGGCTGACCCGCCTCTCCAAGGCCTGCGTCTTTGTGTCCACAGCACTGAAGTTGTTCTGAGTAAAATCTGCTGCTGGAAAGAAGGGCAAGGAAACACGGGGCCAGAAAGGGTGCCTCGTACAGCAGCAGGAAAAAATAAAGATCCTTCTAAACGTATTTTTAACATCTTTGAGTCAAGGACATCAGCGGTCCCGTCACAAAAGAAGATGCTTGAACGATCAATAAACTCAGCCCCCGGAATTAGGGGAACGCTGTGGGAACAAGAGGATGCGTTTCACCCTCATCCTATCAGAAAACCCCAAGGGTCAAACAACTTAAAGAATGTTAATGAAAACGTGGGAATCTGCATTCACCGCTGGGATCACGCATGGTGCCACCACTTTGAAAGCAACCTTTAGGAAAATTGAAGCAAGTAGATGACAAGCCAGAAAGAAAGCATATCTCTTTCTAGATATGCCCAAGAACACAAACATAGATCTGCTCCTTCGAGCCAGGAGCCGTGGTTCTCAACCCCGGCTGTCGTTAAAGTCATCCAGGAATGTCTTTAAAAGAAAAAACATTTCTGCAGCACTGAACCCAGACCAGATCAATTGAACCAGAACTTCTGGGAACAAACTAATAGCTAAGAATTCCCTAGTCATTCTAATAGGCCATCCACTGTGAGAGAGAAACTACCACAAGAAGTATGCATGTGCTAGAAGATGCGTACAGAATATTCCTCACAACACTGTGTGTCCAAAGCACCGGACACACCCTGAATATCCAACACGGGGAGAAGCGATAAAGAAATGGGCATATACAGCGAAATACCACATGGCAGTTAAAATAAATGAGAGCTACATGGATCAATGTGGATAAATGCCAAAAACAGAACGCGGAGCAAAAATGCAAGTGCACAGTACGGCAGCGAGTACGACAGCAAGTACGGCAGCGAGTATGGTACCATTTATATAAAGTTTTAAACCATGAAAATTAACACTGTTCACTCAGTGAGCCTCTCAAGACTTACTAAACATCCGCGATATACCAGACACTGTTCCAGGTACTTGGGATGTATCAATGAGCAACGTAAACAAGGATCCTGGTGGGGAAGTGAGGCCATGAATAATAATACAATAAACAAGAAAAATGCACAGCATGTCAGAGGGCAACATGCTATGGAATACACACACACATATACACATACACACATGCAGACATACACACATGCATGCACATACACACATACACACACATGCATATATACACATGCATACATACACACATGCATGCATGTGTGCATACATACATGCACGCATACATACATGCACATACACACATGCATACATGTGTGCATACATACACGCACACATACATACACATACATACACACATGCATACATACACACTTATACGTGCATACATGCACATATGCACATATACATACACACATGCATGCATACACACATGCACACACATACACATGCACACATACATGCACACACATGCACATACACACACATACACACTTATACATACACACACATACACACATACATACATACACAGCCAGGTAATGCAGGCCACAGAAAAAGGAAAGAGAGGTAAAGAAACAAAATAGAAAGTATAGTGTGGGAGAGGGAGGGAGCTGTGGTTTTTAAGTAGTGAAAAGAGAGCTTGTTGACAGGTGATGTTGAAGACCAAGCTTGAGGGCGTGGAGGTGGTTGCTCACCCAGACATCTGGGGCAGAGGGTCTGAGGAAAAGGAACCTCCATGCAAAGGCCCTGGGGTGGAGCCATCCAGGCCCAGGGGGAGCAGCAAGGAGACCAGGGTGCCAGAGGCTTGTGGGGACCAGGTGGAGGACATCAGGGGTGAGCCGCAGGGCCTCTGGCCTTTGCTCCGAGTGATGTGGGGGTTATTGGAGGGTCCTACACATAGGATTACTGGAGAGTAGTTGTAGGATAGCAGAATGGAAGCTGAGAAACTGGTTATAGGATATGATGAAACAGTAGGAGGTGATTACACGGACACCATGAGTCATGTTTGCAGATACACGGACACCGTGAGTCCTGTGTGCAGATACACGGACACCGTGAGTCCTGTGTGCAGATACACGGACACGTTGAGTCATGTGTGCAGATACACGGACGTGAGTCTCGTGTGCAGATACATGGACACCGTCTCGTGTGTGCAGATACATGGACACCGTGACTCATGTGTGCAGATACACGGACGTGAGTCTCGTGTGCAGATACATGGACACCGCCTTGTGTGTGCAGATACATGGACACCATGAGTCATGTGTGTGCAGATACATGGACACCGTGAGTCATGTGTGTAGATGCATGGATACTGTGTAAGTAAAGTAGAAGAACATGCTGGGGGAGAGTGCATGCTTCATCCAGAACTGTGATTCTCTGTCTGGGTGGACAAGCTGAACAGCTTTGGAACTATGTCTAGGGGCTTAAACTCTATTTGTGAAATCTTCTTTCTTTAAAAAAGTTAAAAGACTTGTAAAAAAAGGGGGAATGTTGAGATACCATTAAGGCTAGATGGTGTGGACAGGGATGTTATATTATTCTCTATACTTTTCTGGATGTTTAAAATAGATGATTACTTTTTTGTAACTTTTTATTTTTATCTATTTTCAAACCTAAAGGTGGTTTGCAGGGATAGTGCAAGGAGCTCCTGTGCATCCTCTACCCAGGTGTGCCTTTGTTTGCAGTCTGTCACTTTTTTGTTTTTTGAGACATGCTGTGGCTCTGTGGCCCAGGCTGGAGTGCAGTGGCATGATCATAGCTTACTGCAGTCTCCACCTCCCAGGCTCAAGCGATCCTCTCACCTCAGCCTCCCAAGTAGCTAGGACCACAGGCGTGTGCTGCAACACCCAGCTAAGGTTTATACTTTTTGTAGAGATGGGGTTTCCTCATGTTGCCCAGGCTGATGTCAAACCCCTGGGCTCAAGTGATCCTCCCATCTGGGCCTCCCAAAGTGCTGGGATTACAGACGAGAGCTACTGTGCCCGGCCACAGTCTGTTATATTTTAAAAATTAAATGGACGAAAGGAAAAGAAAAGGAGGAAAAAGGGCGCCTGCTTGGCTCTGCAGGCCGAGTCCCACCCTAAGCCGCCAGGGTGCCCAACCTCTTCCACCACTGAGAGCAGCCCAGGGATTTCCATGTTTGTCTCATTCCACCAGGCTCAGGGAATGCCTTTTTAAAGAGGAGAAAAAGCGCCTGCCTGGCATGGGGAATGTGCAGGGGCCAACTGGAGCACAGCCAACTCAGAACTTCTTCAGGGGCTCCCTGAGCAGGCCCCACCTGCCTCCTCTCCCCAGGCCTGCACCTCGGAAGTGGCTGGAACCCACAGCCAGCACCTGTCCTTCCTTCCCGCCAGCACCACCTTCCTTCTCTACTCACTCAGAGATACCGGGGTTCCCCATGACTGGTTCATCCTCCCCTCACCCCTAACTTTCCGTGGTCCTCAGATCTCTAACCCATTCCTGCAACATCCAGTGAGGTAGGGAAGCAACAGCGCTGGCTCCGAGAGCCAGGGTCAGGGCCAGGGGCTGACTCCCACACTGTCCTGTCCTGAGCATTGTCCAGGCCCAGAGCAGGGCTGGGCTTGGCGCTGGGCTGTGGAAGCACAGGAGTGATCACTGACCTGGGGCCCTGATGGAGCTCAGAGGCTGATGGAGAAGAGACAGAAAGACTGAGCCCTCCCAGGTGATGCCACCGTGTTAAGCTCAGCGCTGAGAGGCAGCGGGAGGTGTCGCAGGGAGGGCTCCCGCAAGGAGAGACACACAGAGCTAAGAGCTGGAGGGCAGGGAGCCAGGCCGCTCGGGCCCTTCCTGGAGGATCGGATGAATCTGTTATCTCTGAGCAAGCTCCGGGAAACAGGAGACAGGTCGGGGGCTGGCTTGATGGGGGCAGTGGATGGGGTTACCCAAGATACGCTGCGACCTGTGAGCGTCCGGGAAGGGATTCAGGCTTGGGAGGAGTCCAGGAGACAGAAGTCATAGGATTGCCAATCTTTACAGTGGGACAGGTCCTTGGAGGTCATTCCGGTTACTACAACTGTGGGACAAATGACCCCATAACTCAGTGGCTTAAAAAACCACATTTATTTAGTTGGAGTTGAAATTTGGGCAAGGCCAGGAGTGGACACCCTGCCTCTGCTCCACTCAGGGTGAGCTAGGGTGGCTCCCAGGACTGGCGCGTGGCTGACTGTGGCTGTGCCTGTAACCTCTCCAGGTGACGTGGGCTTCCTCATGACATGGGGGCTGGACTCCCAGGAACGTTGGGCAAGAGAGAGAGCCGGGTGGAGTCTGTGGCACCTTCTGCAACCCAGCCTCAGCTTCACGCTGTGTCACCTCTGCTGCCTTCTCTTCAGCAGCCCGGTGACAAAATTCAAAGGAAGAAGGAAGAGCCTCTCCTTGTGTGTGGGAAATAGAAAGGTGATGTGGTCATTTGGGGAAAATAGAATTTGCCACAGGGATCACTGTGTCAGGACAGGACCCTCACTACAGGGAGGCTGGAAGGTGAACAAGCGATAATAAAGATAACGAACCTTTTCCTCTTACTTCAGCAGATATTTCGCAGCTATTTGGGCAGCTTGGAATGGGAACTGGTGGTCTTCCTAGACCACAGGTAATGAGGGGTGGCGTGGAGGAGGCAGCCGTGCCAGGCAGGAAGATCATCCTGGGATCTGCGATGTGTGCATCGGAAGCACCCAGAGAGAATAGAAGCTGCCAGAAAAATGCAAGGAAACCCAGAAACTCGGAGAGCACAAACGAATCACAGTTTTTATTGTGTGAATTTTCACTAAATATCCTACAATGAATATTCGTCATAAGAAAAAGTCATTTTTAATGTCATGATTTCCTGGAAATATAGAAAGAAAGAAAAACAGAAAAGGCACAACTGCCCCCGAGCACAGCAGCAGAATCTTGGTGGTGGGCGCTCCCCTGCCACGCCCGGGGATGCTCCTGCTTCAGGAGTTCACTTGGCTCAGTTATGGCAGCAGGTTCTGATGCTGCAGAGCTCAGAGCAGAAAGGCTAAGGACGCCTGCTTAGGGCCCCTACTGTGTGTGTGCATGTCTGTGTGCACGCATGTGTATGTGTAGGTCTGTGTGCAGGGCTGTGTGCATGACTGCACGTATGTGGATGGGTGCACGACTGTGTACCTGTGTGTGTATATGTGTGGGTGGGTGCGCCTGATTGTGTGTGTGTGTGCGTGTGTGTCTCACGCCAGATTGGTTCTGCTCAGGTGCTCTGCATCATTTCTGCAATCTGATTTCTCCAAGTCTCAAAGGTCGAATGTGCACCATCAACAGCACTGAGAGCCTCTTAGAAAGGCAAAGTCTCCCCAGACCGGATGCACTCCCAGCTTCCGTGCCTGGAATTAGCGTATTTCCTGCAACACCAGGCCGGGCAGAGCTAGGCAAAGTCACCCAGGATCTGGAGTTGCCAGAATGCAGCTTCGGCCACTGACAGCATCATCATGGCCACATAAAAAATCCCCCAAATAAATTTCCTTGGAAGAAGTAAATAAGTTCTTTGTACTTAAGTTTGGAGGTGACCAGTCCTAACTGGTAACTGAATTCCTTGTGATGTCTTACAAATCCTTTGCTTTCTAATTCTATAAATTATGTGTGCTTTTCCCCGGAGATCTTCTGAGAATTTCCTTTAGAGAGCATTTGACTCGGAGGCCATCGGCATCAGATCAGCCCAGGACACTTCAATGGTGAATTGTGTGATAAGCAACAAAATCTCAGTAAAGCTAAAACATCAGCACAGAAAAGACCTTAAAGAAACCGCCTCCTCAGCCACGGAGCCGGCACAACGGGAAAGAAACCACCTCCTCGGCCACAGAGCCGGCGCGGCCGGAAAGAAACCGCCTCCTCAGCCATGGAGCCGGCGCGGCCGGAAAGAAACCGCCTCCTCAGCCACGGAGCCGGCAGAACCCGAAAGAAACCGCCTCCTCAGCCACGGAGCCGGCAGAACCAGAAAGAAACCGCCTCCTCAGCCACGGAGCCGGCAGAACCCGAAAGAAACCGCCTCCTCAGCCATGGAGCCGGCGCGGCCGGAAAGAAACCGCCTCCTCAGCCATGGAGCCGGCGCGGCCGGAAAGAAACCGCCTCCTCAGCCATGGAGCCGGCGCGGCCGGAAAGAAACCGCCTCCTCAGCCACGGAGCCGGCAGAACCCAAAAGAAACCGCCTCCTCAGCCACGGAGCCGGCGCGGCCGGAAAGAAACCGCCTCCTCAGCCACGGAGCCAGCGCGGCCGGAAAGAAACCGCC
This sequence comes from Homo sapiens, assembly GCF_000001405.40. Classification (NCBI taxonomy): domain Eukaryota; kingdom Metazoa; phylum Chordata; class Mammalia; order Primates; family Hominidae; genus Homo; species Homo sapiens. The sequence continues at coordinate 113,752,414 of NC_000013.11, read as the reverse complement.
TCCTCAGCCACGGAGCCGGCAGAACCCGAAAGAAACCGCCTCCTCGGCCACGGAGCCAGCGCGGCCGGAAAGAAACCGCCTCCTCAGCCACGGAGCCGGCAGAACCCGAAAGAAACCGCCTCCTCGGCCACGGAGCCGGCAGAACCCGAAAGAAACCGCCTCCTCAGCCACGGAGCCGGCAGAACCCGAAAGAAACCGCCTCCTCAGCCACGGAGCCAGCGCGGCCGGAAAGAAACCGCCTCCTCAGCCACGGAGCCGGCAGAACCCGAAAGAAACCGCCTCCTCGGCCACGGAGCCGGCAGAACCCGAAAGAAACCGCCTCCTCGGCCACGGAGCCGGCAGAACCCGAAAGAAACCGCCTCCTCGGCCACGGAGCCGGCAGAACCCGAAAGAAACCGCCTCCTCGGCCACGGAGCCGGCAGAACCGGAAAGAAACCGCCTCCTCGGCCACGGAGCCGGCACAACGGGAAAGAAACCGCCTCCTCAGCCACGGAGCTGGCACAACTGGAAAGCAACTCTCCGAGCTGAAAAGCAATGGGTTTGCAAAGAGTGGGAAAACACACAGAAGGCGGGTCATGCAAAACGTCCTCCCGTGTCTGTAAATGGCAGTTGCCCGCCACGATGTCCAGATGCACCGGGGAGTCTGGCCACGCCAAGGGAGAGACCAGAGAGGGCGACTAGCACAGCGTTCACATCTGGTGGCTCTGTCCCCCCAGACACTCCGCACCGAAGCCTGGGGCAGAGGAGAAACCTCGTGCCTGCACACAGAAGGTGTCTCCACAAGGAGCCGTCTCTACAGCGTGACTGTGGAAAGCAGGCCTCGGGACCCTGGGACCAGCACCAAGAATGCCAGACCTGGTTCTCCGAGGCTGCGGCATTCCTCCCACGTCTGCCTCTAGGGGCCACGCAAGGGAGCTGAGACACGGGAGTTACAGAGCACTCAGCTTCCCCACAAGAACTGGCTCTGGTAAGAGCAGCTAGCATCAAGGAGGAGGATTCACGTGTGCACCCACCACTCAGAGACACAGACATATGCACACTCGCAGACATGCACACACACCACAGAGACACAGACATGCCCATGCACACACATGCACTCACACCACAGAGACAGACGTGCCCATGCACACACACGCACACACACGTGCACACGCACACATGCATGCACACGTACTCACACACCACACAGAGATACATGCACTCACACGCACACACACATGCACATACACACGTGTGCACATACATGCACACACGCACAGATGCACGCATGTACATGCACACACATGTACACACACCAGTCATGCAACCACACATGCACACACAAATATGCACCTACACACATGTGTATATACATGCACATATGCAGATATGCACACGTATATGCACACATGTGCACATGCGTACACATGCAAACATGCATGCACACATGTACACACACCACACAGACATGCACTCACACGTACAGACACACCCAAGCATGCGCATACACACGTGCACATATATGCACACATGCACATATGCACACATGCAAATGCAAACATGCATGCACACATGTACACACACCACACAGACACAGACATGCACTCACATACACATGCACACACACAAACATGGACATACACGTGCACACACACGCACACACACGCAGTCACACACGTACACATGCATGCAGGCACACAGACACGCACATACACCACACTGCACAAACATGCACACACAGACACAAACACATGCGCACACACGTGCACATGCACTCACACCACACACAGACATGCACACACAGGCATGCACACACACGTACACAGAGACACACATTCACAAACACATAAATGCTTGTGTGTGGAGACAACTTTCTGCATTCATTGAGCGTGAGTTTTGTTCATGAAAATCCACTGGCCCCCTTTGCTCTTTGAATGGGTCTTTTACCTATGCATGATTTTGAGGAATCACACGCTGGTCATGTGGAGAATTATTCGGAAGCTGTCACACTCACAATGCGAGAAACAAGTTTTCAAAAATTCCTCTTGTCATTTGAAAGCTCAACATTGTATCATTGGTGCCAGATACTCCCAGCTGTTTTCCTTACAGGGATGGGCTTACTTGGTTGTTTTCAGGAAAACACCCAAGCCTGGGTATGCAGGGCTGTTCGCTGTTTGTTCCATGGAAACTGGTGTTGCAAGAATAAAGGAGCTTGGTTCAGCTTGGCTGCCAGACGCCCACATGGCACACACAAAGCACTGTGCGCAAACCTCCAGCTCCATCACAAGGAACGTCACTGCCGAATGCTGCTGGCGATGGTGGCGAGAAGCCTCACGAGCTCAAAGCCACCTTGATCTGGGCCCAGGCACCAGCAGGTGTCCCACCATCAGCCCTCTGCCATTGCCGCGAATGTCAACACAGAGAAAAAGGCAAGGGGCCCGAGATGACTGTGCTGGTCTTGGAGACCCCCCTGAAAACACCCAAAGGACCACACGTGAAGAACTGCTGTTCTGTGGAACAAATGATGCCAACGCTTCAACAAATGCACAGCCCGAAGAGTCTGGGCAGATAAACAAGGTGCCGGACACGGCCCTGCTGGGTCCTGTTTCAAACAGGCCAGACATAAATAGATGTGTGGAGACCCCGGGAAAACTTCCAGGAGCACTTGGGGGCTGGAGGGAGGCACACGGGCCTGCGCCTGGGAGCCGTGCTCTGCCCACTCCACCCCATGACCCTCGAAGGAAGCACCTCACGGGGCCCCCAGGGGTGCAGGGAGTCAGCCGCCCTGTTCCTGTGTGAGCGGGGCCTCTGGGGCACCGACCTGCACAGACCTGGTGGGGAGAGGCCACTCCAGCCTCTGGGCTGTCTTGGGTGAGGCCTGAAGTGGCTCTTCCCACAGTCTGAGCAAGGGCTCAGTCCCACCAGCAGCAACATAGCCCAGGGCATGGAAGCCCTTGATGACGTACATGGGGCTCGACTCCCACAAAGCCAACCCCATTGTGGGGTCAGCACAGCTGCAGAGAGTACCCACGCCAGCCGCAGCCATCCCCGAGGAGTGTGGTGCTGGGGACAGTAAGCCGGGTGTGTCAACCTGTGAGGGGCACCTGAGGCCAGCATGAGGGCAGGCGAGGCGGCCGTGGCTCATGGGTGCTAGGTCTGCAGGACTGTGCCCAGGTGTAGGCTCTGCCTCCCAGCCCCACGGCGAACACCCATGGTGCCCCTGCCCTGTAGCAAGACCCTGACCCCCACACATGTCCCCAGACACCTCCTGGGGCAACAGTGCTGCCATGAGGACCTCTGAGATGAAGGCACCGGCTCCACTGAGGCCTGTGTGGTTCCCGCCACCTGCCCCCACACCCTTCCTCCTCCACCCGCCCTGCGCTCTGGAGTGGCCCGGAGCCTGCCCCGTGGGCGCCCACAGAGTCAGGCACCAGCAGGAGATGAAGGGGCGGAGGAAGGTGAGAGTGTCCTCATCCCAGGCCTCCTCGTGAGGTCCCTGCGGCCTGGCTGAGCCCCTCCCAGGGACAGGCCCCTCCGTTGCTCCCCTGGAAGCTGCTTTCCTCGGACGTGGGAACAGCCCTGTCCCTGGGCCCTCAGGAATGGGATAGAACAGGGCCCAGGGTGGGAACCAACACCCTAAGTCTCTTCCCACAGAAGCCTAAGGACAGCAATGGCTGAGGGAGGCGTCCTGAGGTGCTCCCGTGGCTGTGCTCCCATGGCTGTGCTCCCCTCGCTGTGCAAGCATCGCAGCGACTCACACGGCTGGAGGGCAGGGCCCACTGCCTGCCCAGGCTTCACGGTGTGGCCCTGGCTGCACACCTGTGCTGCAGGTGCCTGCGCCGATCCCTGGAGGAGCTGTAGTAAGCATTTGTGCATGTAAACACATCCAAGCTTGGAAATGGCACAGTAAAAGCACAGCACCGCGATCTTACGGGAGAAACGTGGTTATGCGCGTGGCTGGGTGGCCTTTACTACTCCTTCCTCAGTCCCTCGCTTGAGGGGGTGCCTGGCTGAGTGAAGATCCCAGCACACTCAGGATCTCGTGCCTGTCCCTGGGCACCTGACGTGCTACGGAGACAGTGACTTTGCAGATGGGATTAGGGTCAGGGCCTTGAGGCGGGGACTGATCTGGGACTGTCCAAGTGATAACGGAATGTAACCACGAGGTCCCCAGGGAGGGAGGCGGAGGGAGGTGTGACCAGAGAGGACACTAAGGCCACATGATGGCAGGACAGCGTCAGGGAGGGGCAGGGCTGCGAGCCAGGGGTGCTGACTCTTGCCTGAGCCAGGAGAGGCAGTGTGGCCCTGCTCACACCTCCCTCTTAGCCCTGTGAGCCCCGTTTTAGACTTGGGCCCCCAGAGCTGTAATGGGATAAGCGTGTGTGTGTTAGGCTTCGACGCACAACAGTACCTTGAGGGTCCCAGCGTCTTGGACACCTCCATGCTGGGGGCGTACGAACATTTTCCAGGTGGTGCAATTGCCTAAGGGAATCACATCCAGACCCCTGATTTCCAGATGCAATCTCTCCCACAGTAGATCTGGGTGAGTCCAGGGCCCCAGGTCCACTGCGTCCCCTTCCCACCCGACTGCCACCAAGAGGAGCCAACCCCATCCCCAGCCCAGCCTCCCTGAGGTGCAGCTCTCCCTGCGTGACCCTCGGGCCCCAAACATAGAAGCAGTCACAGCATGGGGCAAGGCCGGGCTCCAGGGGAGAATCGCCGAGTCTGTGCCTGGCAGATTCTGTGTCTGGCAGATTCTGTGCCCAGCGGAATCTGTGCCCGGCGGATTCTGTGCCCAGAGGATTCGCACAGGGCCCAGCCTTCTCCTCATCCATGCCCAGCCGCCAGGGCCGGAGAACCCAGAGGGAGGGGTCATCACTGGACACCTCCCGACGTCCTAACAATTCTGACAGAAGCCAGATCGGTTCTGCCAACCGCTTTGACTGGCTCCCCAGCCAGGTCGCCTTTGTCTGTTTGGTGAACTCCGGCCAAGCCTTGCTCCAGGCGCCACGTTCAAACTCGCCACAGCCTTGCGTCAGGGGCTGTCACCACTGCCGTGTAAGATAAGGAAGCCAAGGCTCCGGGCAGTGGCGTGAGCAGCCCAGGGTCACACAGCAGGCAGTGGCAGAGCCGGGGCAGACTCAGGCACCGACCAGGCTCACGCACACGGCCTGTGTTGCCATGAGCCCCGAGATGAAAGGACCTCGTCTGTGGATCCCCGTTCTGTGGGAAATGCATTAAACGGCATGTGAGTACATTGCTGCCCTTTCCAACTAAACCAAAAGTATTTTAGATGCAAAGTTGACATGGCACATTTCTGAAAATTCTTTGAGGACTACACGAGCAAAACATGTTGAGAGCCGGGACCTCCGGCCTTAGCCTCAGTAACAGAAACCAAAGCCATCCCTGAACAATCTCAGCACGGTCCCCCTTCAAAGACGAGAAACTGAGGCTCTGGGAGGTTGGTTGTTGTGGCCCAGGACGGACCCCCAAAGCCCGTGTGCTTAACTGCAGGGCAGGGACGCTGGCTAGGATCTGGCCACTGGAGCCGCTCCTGCCCCAGGCCCCAAGCTGGTGGCCCACAGCGCCTCTCCTGCAATCCCAGATCAGCTTGGCAGGGGCGGTCACCTGGGATCAGGGTATTTTTTTAAATTTAATTTACTTTAGCTCTTCCAAGAGGCAATTAGATGAGGAAATCTGTCTTCCGCCGGACTGAAGATAATTAGAGAGACTGGATAAATTGTTATTGACGGTAAGAAGATAATTCGCTAGAACCGCTAGAAAAAATGCCTGCTGTCCTTCCCAATTCCAGATTCCTTCCTGCCTAGAGGAAAATGAAAGTGCCCTGAGGTTTCCTACCTTGACTTTCTCCACATGAACATGGGCCCTGTAAACCAGAAAGCATGAGAGACAGGCCTCAATCCATTGAGAGGTTCATTTGCCAAGGTTAAGGGCACACATGGGAGAGAGCTCTGTGACTTTCTCCAAAGATGATTTTGAGGGTTTCAGTATTTTAAAGGGGAAATGCAGGCTGGAGGGGAAAGAGGGAGGTTTGGTTGCGAGACTGAACCCATGCATTGCAGGAGAAAGGAACAGGCAGGACAATGGTGAATGATGCATTTGTCCTGGGCTCAGAAAGTCGGACTTTGCACTAGGCCAGGGGAACGCAGAGCAGCTGCTGGTGAAGACGCTGAGCCTTTGCTGGGCAGCTCCCTGCTCAGGAACACAAGGAAAGGCCTCTCCTCACAGGGCTCAGCTTCCAGCTTTAAGGGTTTCCTTTGGCGGTGAATTGGAGTCCCCAGATTTTATTTTCCTTTCACAGCCCCGATGTTGCCCCAGAAACAACAGAGACTCCTGAAAGTTTCCCACACCCTTCAGAAGGCTTTGGGCAAATTGGGGTGTGGGAGACGGGATGAGCATGGATGGAGCACCTACTGTGCACCTCACGCTGTGGCTGGTCTGGGAGACGGGACGAGCGTGGATGGAGTGCCTACTGTATGCCTCACCCTATGGCTGGTTTGGGGATGGGACGAGCGTGGATGGAGTGCCTACTGTATGCCTCACCCTGTGGCTGGTTTGGGGACAGGACGAGCGTGGATGGAGTGCCTACTATATGCCTCACGCTGTGGCTGGTTTGGGGACAGGACGAGCATGGATGGAGCGCCTACTGTATGCCTCACCCTGTGGCTGGTTTGGGGACAGGACGAGCGTGGATGGAGCGCCTACTGTATGCCTCACCCTATGGCTGGTCTGGGGACGGGACAAGCGTGGATGGAGCGCCTACTGTATGCCTCACGCTGTGGCTGGTCTGGGAGATGGGATGAGCGTGGATGGAGCGCCTACTGTATGCCTCACCCTATGGCTGGTCTGGGAGATGGGATGAGCGTGGATGGAGCGCCTACTGTATGCCTCACCCTGTGGCTGGTCTGGGAGATGGGATGAGCGTGGATGGAGCGCCTACTGTATGCCTCACCCTGTGGCTGGTCTGGGAGATGGGATGAGCGTGGATGGAGCGCCTACTGTATGCCTCACCCTGTGGCTGGTCTGGGAGATGGGATGAGCGTGGATGGAGCACCTACTGTATGCCTCACCCTGTGGCTGGTTTGGGAGACGGGATGAGCGTGGATGGAGCGCCTACTGTATGCCTCACGCTGTGGCTGCCACTTTCACTTTCTGCCTCATCCCAGCCTTGCCATGTGGCGCCCATTTCACAGATGATGAAACAGAAGCACGCAGAATTCAGTAACTTTTTTCAATGTCAAATAGCTAATGGGAGAAACAAGATATAAACCAGGTAAGTCTGAGTCAAAACATAACCACATCTTCCAAATGGGAAAGCATGCATTTATCTGTATGTACACTTTTAAGTTAATCTTTCAGTCAACACACATGTATTGGATTTCCTTACGTGCAGGACACTAGACAAGGTGCAAAGATGACTCGTGCAGTTCTGCCCTGTAAGAATCCACAGTTGAAGTAAGAAGCAAGAGAAATGGAACAGACGATGAGACAAAGCAGACAGCGGTGACAGCATCCCACCACACGGCTGCCCTGCTGGAGAATTCACGGGGAAGTCCAGGATGTGGCCGGCCCGTGTGCAGACCAGGAGCTCACTGACCGATCAACACATCAGGCAGGGGGTTGTCAACCGTGGCCTCGCCTGAGGGTCCCCCAGGGGCTAAGGACCCAGATACTCAGGACACAGGCCAGCCGGACCCCGCACATCAGTCGCTGGAGGGGGTGGATGTTTGAAGCTCCCCAGGTGGTTCTCTAAGTAGCCAGGCCTGCAGGGGGTGGTGGGGGTGAGCAGCGGGTGAGTTTGGGGTGATGCGGAGGGGCAGCAGGTGAAACCACTCCCTGGGGGGAGAAGGAGCAGTTGGTGAAACCACTCCCAGGCAAGCAGGAGGAGCAGTGGGTGAACCACTCCCTTCGGGGGGGAGCAGTGGGTGAAACCACTCCTGGGGGCGGGCGAAGAGGAGCAGCAAGTGAAACCACTCCCAGTGGAGGGGAGCAGTAGGTGAGCCATTCCCTGGAGTGGGGGGAGCAGCAGGTGAAACCACTCTCCGGGGGGGCGGACAGGAGCAGCAGGTGAGCCACTCCCTGAGGTTGGGGAAGCAGCAGGTGAAACCACTCCCCGGGGGGCAGAGAGGAGCAGCTGGTGAGCCACTCCCTGGGGGTCCACAGTGGTTCCAGGCAGAGGCTGCATTTGTCAGGCCTTGGAGGATGGTGCTGAGTGGGTAGAATTCCAGGAGGCTCTGGGGCAAACCCTAACCTTAACCCTAATCCTGGCCCTGGCAACACCTCATCGCAGCTCCTCTTCCTCCTGCGGCCCACAGTAGATTCTCCAGCATGAGTACCAGGAAGACGCCCTGTCCCAGAACCCGTCCAGTACCCACCCCAAGCTCCAGGAGGGGCAGGCCCAGGCCCCAGACACCAGGGCACAGCGCCTCTCCTCCCACCCTCCCAAGGCTGGTCTTAGGGCACAGTGCCTCTCCTCCCACCCCCACCCCTGTCTGCCTGCCAACCTCGTGGGCCTCCCTCACACACACAGGCGCCCCCACACATATGCACACGCTCACACACGCACTACTGAGAGTGCACATGCTCACACACACAAGGCCTGCACACACACGCCACCAAGCACACACGCTCACACAGGGACTGGCCTGGGTCCAGGCTGTGCAGTGTCGTGGTGGCCGGAGTGGGTGGGGCTGAGACATCGGCCATTGGTCCACACTTGCCACAGTGTCCACTGTGGGGCTCAGGCAGCCTTTCACGGCCAGCATGCCTCTGATCTTCCGGCCACAGTGAGGGTGGGCGTGCTGTGTGGTCCGGTGCTTGCGCCCCCAAGTCTGCAGTGAGGCCTGGCTGGGGAGCCGCTGAGATCACCTGCTCCAGCTCTGCCACCCTCTCTCCGTCCCGTCCTCCCCAGGGAAGCCCTTCCTAGTTTTCTGCGCAGGCCTGTGAATCCCCTTCTTCCTCTTTCCCTGCTTCTTTCTCCTTAGGGTTTAGACTTTGGAGAAACCAAAACAGAAAGACCTGCCTGGAGCTCCCACACGGACCCCTCCCTAGAGCCCCAGATTCTACTGGCCCCCACTGGAACAGGGGAGGAAGCAGAGGAAGAAGGTACATGCAGCCTCCAGAAAAATGATCAGGATGATTCCAGACTCACCCGATAGGGCCATCAGGGCAGGCGATTAGCCTTGATTCCACCTGGGGAGAGGGGCCTCCCCAACCACACAGCCCTGTTGGGGGAAGGAGCTGCTGGGACCTGCCAAGGGAATGGGCCTCCCCTGGAGCTCTAAGAGTCAAAAGCTGAGGCTTTTTTGCATAAAAGCAGGGCAGGAGGAATTGGGGGTGTGGTGGCCGAGGCACTACTGAGTTCAAAAGAAGCTCGTTGAGGGCAGGGACCTTCGCCCCAGTTCTCACAGGAGGCACTCCCTGAACAAAAGCTGCAGGAGGACCATACAGGCCAAACTGCCAAACTCAGACCAGCACCTGCTGGGCCGAGGCCACGGGGACGCCTGGTCTTCTCCTACCCATACCCACCACGGCCGCTGGGCAGAGGACATGGGGGACCCACGGGGGCCTGACTGCTGGGAATACCCATTGGCTTGAGCAGATGTGAGTCAACAAGACTCAGACAATGACGTGGGCTCTAAGAAGGTGGCAGTTACGTGAACTGTGAAGCTCAGTTCCTCCCGTTTGTTCAGAGCCTCCGCATCCTGGCCCCAGCTCAGGTGGGAGTCGTTGCTGAGGCACCCGTGTGTGCACGTGGCCTGGCTCTCAGCTCTCAGGGATCAGTAGTGCTGGCAGCAAAACATGACCCTTCCTGTAACAAAATGCCCATGAAATGGAGCAGGGGATGAATAACGTAAGCCGAGCCATGAGGGAGCGGGAGGGGCCGCCCCGCCTGTCTGTACAGGGTGTGGGGTGAGGGCAGGAAGGGGACAGGAGGTGCCCCCAGAGACATGAATTTTTAAAAATTAAACACACTCCTTGCACTTTGCTAGAAGGCCTCTGTCACCATGTGACCGGGGACCTCTTCAGGGCTCCCAGCAGGAAAGGCAGAATTACACCCCCCGGGAAGCCTGAAGCCCACCCTCTCGCAGCCCTGAGCCGGGCAACGGCGGCTCACCAGCACCTCCTGTTCTAGGCGGCATTTTTCTAAAGTGCAGAGTGCAGCAGCCTCTGCATCACCCCACTGCAGGGAGAGAGCCACGCCCTTTGCAGTTGTGAAACCAGACCCGCTGGACAGTTCGCCTCCAAGCACACAGTGCATATTGGATACTGACAGGCCAGGGTGGCAGTGGGGCTCCTGGGACCCACGTGACAGGACAAGAGCTGAGGCTCAGCCAGTCGCCCCCACAAGGCCAGCCGAAGAATGCCAGGGACCGAGAGCTGAGGCTCAGTGAGCCATCCCACCCATGCCAGCGGGAGAATGCCAGGTACATCGCTCTCCATGCTGTCGTCCTCAAACCCCAGCACAATGCCTCACCCTTGGTAACATTCAGCCTTCAGCTCATTTGTCTTGCAAATAAAAAGGTTGAACTTGGAAGAACATTTCACTACTGTAATTGGGGGATTGGGGCTTGGTTTTTTAAAAATCAAATCAAGGCTTCTTATATCCATTTTAAATTGCCTAGATAGAAACTGAGAACCAATCTCATATTTATTTGTAATTTCATGTTATCAGATTGAGGTTTTCTTTCAAAACTGCTCTTCCATTGACTGGCATAATGCCTGTAATCTGTACATTTTATTTGCAATTGAGGCCCATTTACGTGTCTAAACACTCACAGAGGGGACAGACCCCCATTGTAAAACAAAACACAATGGGCCCCAGCCAGAGACTGCCAGCTTTTCGAGGACTCGCTGTGGTGGAGCTCACATTGAGGTAATTCCATACTCAGCAAACCCACAGACCGCAGACAGGAAAAAAGAAAGAACCGCCACTCTGACAATATCATAAATAGTTGAGTAAAGGAATAAAATAAGAAGTGCTGAGCCTGCAGCCCTTGCTGGAGTTATCAGAACCGGCCCCAAATTTCCTGCAAGGCTGTCTCTGGCACGGCCCTCCCCAGAGGCCAGCTGGCCCCATAGGCACATCCACGCTAAGCTCCACAGCCTCTCACGCATCCACGCTGAGCTCCACAGCATCTCAGGCATCCACACTGAGCTCCACGGCCTCTCACGCATCCACGCTGAGCTCCACGGCCTCTTCTGCATCCACGCTGAGCTCCACGGCCTCTCACGCATCCACGCTGAGCTCCACGGCCTCTCACGCATCCACGCTGAGCTCCACGGCCTCTTCTGCATCCACGCTGAGCTCCACTGCCTCTCATGCATCCACGCTGAGCTCCACGGCCTCTCATGCATCCATGCTGAGCTCCACGGCCTCTTCTGCATCCACGCTGAGCTCCACGGCCTCTCATGCATCCATGCTGAGCTCCACGGTCTCTCCTGGGAAGCCCTGGCTTCCTTCTCTCTGCCAGCCCTCATGGGAGTGCCTAGCACCACCGCAGCGCAGAGGGGACGGGAGAGATGCCTGCAGCTCCAGCCGTTTCTCCTCCAGGGGAGGAGGCCAGAGGCAGAGGGAAAGCAGGCAGCTCCCGCAGGACAGCCCTGAGCCAGTGTGAATGTGGGTGAAGCTCCCGGTGCTCACTGCAACAAGGAGGACGCGTGAGCAAGTGCAGACGCTGGGGACTCAGCCCTGACCGACAATGTTGACGTCTGCCAGCTACATGGAGATGAAAATGAAGGCATGTCGCATGCATGTATGTGTGTAGAGGTGTGTGTGTGTGCGCATGTGTGCACCTGTGTGTAATTCTGAAGGAAAGTATGTGACTTGGAAATCATATCACAATCCAGGGACTCACTCTTCCTTATTAACTTTTATTTTTACCCTTTTTTTATTTGAATAAAAATTGCAGTTTTTGTTTTTTACAAAAGGAAAGGTCACACGGCATTGTTCCTCAGCCTGCTGGCGGCCTGTGGCTCCCCCGGCTGCAGTGTCACTAAGGCAGTGTGGTGGGCTGGCCCTGAGCTGCAGGTGCACACGCTTGCCCGGGAGGTTGACAGTGGGACGTTTCTTGCCATGTTTTTGGCCCCAGCATGAGCCGATCGCATCAGCCAACTCCGCAGATGAGACAAAGCCACCTTGCAGGGATTCCCATGGGCTTCTGAGGGGGCCGTGGCCTACATTGAGGATAAGAGGATTGAAGCTGAGAGCTTCTCTGCAGAGGGTGCACCTATGCCTGCCTCACTGCAGCCAGATGCCCAGATGCCTGGGCCTCTTGATGTGCAGTCCCATCCTTTGCTGACCCCAAGGGAGATTACAAACCCAGACCGGCCAGACGGCTGCCTGGGCAGCAGAGCGGGGTGTTGCTGGTCCAGGCAGCACCGAGAGAGAGCCCAGGGAGGGCAGCAGGGGGTCGTCCCCGCTGAGGAGAGAGTATTTGCCCAGATTCAGGGGCCTGAAACCCCAAGACTGCCCACAACAGAGGGCCCAGATGAAGAGTCCATAGAGACATCTGCCCGGAGGGCACCGAGCCACGTGCAGCAGCACCAGGCAGGCAAGAATAGCCCTGGATGCCTTCCTTCATCCCAGCTCAGCCCTGAAGAGCCAGAGGCCGAGGCTGGCCACAGGAAGCAGGGCCACTCTGCAGGCAGGTGGGCATGAGACACATGCACCGCCACCGTCAGACACTGCAGCCCCGCGGGAACGGAGGCACCAAAGCTCATCGCATGTGGAGCTGTGACCATTATGGGGCCACGCACACTGAGCCCCTGAGAGGAGGCTGGTGCTGCCTGGGTGGGGAGCAAACAGGCGGGGGCAGGCAGTGTCAGAGCTCCAGAACTGGGCAGGGCCCGCCGGGGTGTCTCCGTAGGATCATTGACTCAGCATTCGTGATGTATTTTCTCCATGGGACACAAAGATTTAGAAGTTTTTAAAAATAAAGTGACAAGAGGCCGGGCACCGTGTCTCACGCCTGTAATCCCAGCACTTTGGGAGGCCGAGGCCGGCAAATCACCAGCTCAGGAGATCGAGACCATACTGGCTAACACGGTGAAACCCCGTCTCTACTGAAAAATACAAAAAATTAGCCAGGCATGGCAGCGGGCGTCTGTAGTCCCAGCTACTTGGGAGGCTATGGCAGGAGAATGGCGTGAACCCGGGAGGCGGAGCTTGCAGTGAGCCGAGATTGCACCACTGCACTCCAGCCTGGACGACAGAGCAAGACTCCTTCTCAAAAAAAAATAAATAAAAAATAAAGTGACAATAGGGCTTTCGAATGCCTTGTATGAATGCATGGGGTGAGCATGAGTTTCATCGAGGGGTGAAAACACCACTCAACTGACCCAAGAGATGGCAGAAGCCAAAAACGAAGCTGCTTTTGTGGTTTTATCCCAACAGGTTGCCTGTGCAGTGGAACCACTGCTGATCTTACAGATAAATATATAATCTGCAACAGGCTTGCCAGAGTTAACCAAAAGAAAACTGCGGAACATCCCATTAAATCTGAATTTCAGAAAAATGATGAATCATTTTTTAGGTCAAGTATGTCCCAAACACTGCATGGGATAGACTTACACTAAAAAATGATTCCTTATTTATCTGAAATTGAAATTCATTGGGATGTCCTGTATCGTGTCTGGCAACCCAGCCCTAAAACAGGCAGAGGGTCTTGCTGGTGGGCCTGGGGGGGCCACGGGGCTCTTTGGCACCGGGAGCCAGGCTTCCCTCCACTGCTGCGACCACTCATAGCCCCTCCAAGCCCCCTGATCCCAGTGAAGCCAGGATGAGATTGCTTACCTGTCCAGGGCCATAGGAATGCAAGGCAGGTTAAAATGGGTTTAAAAAATCAGAAATGGAGTCTTTCATGTTCCAGAGTGTATGAAGTGAGACTGATAGCCATTACCTAATCGATGTGTAACATTCTAGAAAACAAAACAGGAGGCCGAGGCGGGCGGATCATCTGACGTCAGGAGTTCAAGACCAGCCTGGCCAACATGGTGAAACCCCATCTCTTACTAAAAATACAAAAACCCAGCACTTTGGGAGGCTGAGGCGGGTGGATCACGAGGTCAGGAGATCAAGACCATCCTGGCTAACATGGTGAAACCCCATCTCTACTAAAAGTACAAAAAATTAGCCAGGCATGGTGGCAGGCACCTGCAGTCCCAGCTACTCGGGAGGCTGAGGCAGGAGAATTGCTTGAACCTGAGCTTCTCGGGAGGCAGAGGTTACAGTGAGCTGATATTGTGCCACTGCACTCCAGCCTGGGTGACAGAGAGAGATCTGTCTCAAAAAGAAAAGAAAAGAAAAGAAACAGAAAGGGAGGGAGGGAGGGAAAGAAGGAAGGAAGGAAGGAAGGAAAGAAAGAAAGAAAGAAAAGAAGGAAGGAAAGGAAAGGAAAAAAAGAAAAAGAGAAAGAAAGAGAAGGAAAGAAGGAAAGAAGAGAAGAGAAAAGAAAGAAAGAGAAGGAAGGGAGGGAAGGAGGAAGGAAGGAAGGAAGGAGAAAGAGTGGGCACGGAAATCTGTCCTGCAGGCCGCTTCCCACGGGCCTCCTCCTGTGCCTGCCTGCGCCTGCTCAGGTGCACCTGGATGGGTAGTTTTATGTCAAAAAGCACTGGACGCCCCACAGCTCCTCCTGAACATCCCAGGTCTCAGAAGTGTCAGACGCTCAGAGCCAGGACAGGAGGAGGCCGGGAGGTTTATTTTGCAGTCCAGGTTTGCTTCCCAAGAACAGTCTGCAGGTGCATGAGGCAACTTGACAGGACATATGAAAGTCTCCACAAAACCAGACGATGTGGAGTTCTGTTGAGATCTGTGGGAAGACGTGCTCCTCACCCAGGGTGTGGCCGACGTGGGTTCTATGGGAAGACATGCTCCTCACCCAGGGTGTGGCCGACGTGGGATCTATGGGAAGACGTGCTCCTCACCCAGGGTGTGGCCGACGTGGGATCTATGGGAAGACATGCTCCTCACCCAGGGTGTGGCCGATGTGGGATCTATGGGAAGACGTGCTCCTCACCCAGGGTGTGGCCGACGTGGGATCTATGGGAAGACATGCTCCTCACCCAGGGTGTGGCCGATGTGGGATCTATGGGAAGACGTGCTCCTCACCCAGGGTGTGGCTGACGTGGGACCTATGGGAAGACGTGCTCCTCACCCAGGGTGTGGCCGACTTAGGATCTGTGGGAAGACGTGCTCCTCACCCAGGGGCGTGGCCTATCTTCCCTCCAGAAGCTCTAAAACCACATAGGAGGGAGTTGGGTCCCCATTTTGGCTGCAGCCAGCAAATCTCCAAAATTGTGGATTGCCAGGGTCCTCTTCTCCCCAACAGGAAGAGGACGACCTGGCAGCCTGAGGACTGTGAGGGCATAGGCCCTGCCCACTGCAGCACTGACTCTCAGGCAGCTGTCTCTGCCATTTCTGGGAGAGAGGCCGAGACCCACCAGTCCAGGCTACGGAGGATCCATCTCTTCCACTCCCTGCAGGACGTGACACCCCCAAGTGGGACCTTCCCAAGCCACCCTGTCTCCATCAGTCACATCATCAGCCACTTGCCGCGGCCCCTCTCACCAAATTAGAGTAGACAGGGCTTCTTTCTACCACCAGCTCTGCCCCAAGGCTCACGGGGACGTCCTACCATCTTCTCTCCCCGTGACCACATGTGGCAGGGTCAGGCTTCTTCTCCCACTGGTACAACAGTGGCCGGGGCTCAAAGGAAGTTCTTTCCTAAAAGGAGCTCAGAGGCCCTCTCTGGAAAGGAGTCCTCAGGCCGCCCATCACCACTGCTTCCCTGCGGCTTGGATGCACTCCCTCTGAGCCGGCTGCTGAGGCCATGGAACCCAGGCCAGCACCGCCGGCCCTCAAGAGGGAGTGTGTCCTGGAGGCAGTTGCAACAGAACTAACTTCCTGCAGTTAAAACACACAAAGCATTTGGGGAACCTTCAGTGTTCAAAGTGCAGTTGGAAATGCCAGGTGCATTGTGGGTGGGGCCGAGCTGTATGAGAAGGTGGGCTGTGAGTGTCTTCCCGGGCTATGGCTTTAGGACTCCAGTGCTGCTGCTACTGGGAACACAGAGAGGGGTTGCAGCAAGGAGCTCTGTCCCTATGCACAAGGCCCGTGGCCTGAAGTGTCCCCTGGGAGATGAGACGGACCAGCCCCAGTGGGGAGGAGGGTCAGAGAGCAAACGGTCCTGGCTTTGCCCGCCAAGAGCAGCTGAGGTGCTTCCGGGACTCAGGGTCAAGACAGAAAACATTTTCAGCTCCCCAGCTCAGGGGTGGGAACTTTGCACCAGCTGCCGTCAGCTGGACACCCTGAGATAAGGAGACCCCAAGATGCACTGAGACCCCCAGACTCCACACCCGCTCCCCTCCTCCCAACAGCCCAACAGAGCCTGCGCCTGGCAGATGTGGACCATGGCACCCCGGAGTGCAGGGGACCATGGTGCCCCAGTGTGCAGAGGACCACGGCGCCGCAGGGTGCAGGGGACCATGTGGCGTGCAGGCCACCAGCACAGGGCCCGGGCACCCTGGAAGTCAGGAGCCTGCACAGAGGGACCTGGGGGGGGCGAGGTCCAGCCCTCCCCAGTGGGGCCAGGGGCTGCGGCCAGGGTTCACTGACCCCTGACCTGGCCACCGTGCACCTCCCGCTGAGGAGCGTGGCTCTGGGAAGCCAATGGCTAAGGTCTTGGGAGGCCAAAACCGAGTCTCTGCCCCTGACCACACGGTTGGTCAATCACCAATGCAGGAGGCTCCCTAAGAGTTTGTAGATTTTTGGCTTACTCCCTCTGGAGAGCATCTTATGTCTTCTCAGTGAGATGGAGCAAAAGACGTGAAATATGCAGTCGGGGGCTCACGGCACCAGCATGTGCGTCTGGCGGCTCAGGCCGATGTGGGCTTTCTCCTCCTTGGGCCGCAAGGAGATGGCGTGATGGGGACCTGGGTGGAGGGAACCACGTGTCCCCTTGCTAGCAGACCCCAGGCTGGCACCACGGAGGCAGGCGGCCCCCATCGAGCCGTATGGGTCCTTTTCCTCCACGTGGACTCTGGGGCGTCACCTAGGAAACCAGACACATCCCTGACTTGGACGAGGAGCTGGAGCCCCCGGAGATGCCCTTCATGTCGTCCGGCATCTGACCGTCCGAGCGCCACACGTTCAGCTCGCCAAAGATGCCCGTCTCGATCATCTCCTCCTGCCAGGGGATGGGGCAGTTGCCAGTGGCAAATTCCTGAAAGAATTCTGTGTCTGTTTTGTCAAAGGCCACACCTTTGACGGTGGAAAAGGCACCCACGTCCTGAATATCCTTTGCGTAGACAGTTTTGGAGTCTGGGATGAAAGGGGGCATCAGCATCCCTGTGGGAGACAGAAAACACAGACGCCAGGCTCCTCGTGGTGGGAAGGAAGCGCCGTTTAGCCAAAAAGCCCCCTCCCCCATGGCTCCCAGATGCACAAAGGCCTGGGGCCGCTCTTCCTTAGGGAAGTGTCGTGGAGGCTGAGAGAGAAAGCCCAGTGTTCCCAGAAGGCCCCTGGGTTCCCCTGAGACCACACAGCTGGGGCTTGAGTGGGGCCGGAAGAAGCCTGAGATCCCAGGGCTCATTTTGGAGCCTTCTTGTGAAAGGACCTGGCGCTCACATCTGCCTTGTTGGGAGCCTCCCCTAGGGTCTCGTCATGAAGCGGTCTCCTCCCCGAACACGCCTTCCCCTGGGGCCCCATCCCCACCAGGGCCTCCCCTGCGCACTCTGCAGACCCCAGACCCCAGGCACTCAAGCACACGCTCCAGTGAACTTGGCAGCTTCCTTCCAACCAGCGTCCCTCCCTGACGCACCGGCCCCCGATGGCCAGGCACAGCCGGTCACAGACATCACTCTCCTCTCGGTGCACCGACCCTGACCCGGCTGGCCCATGCTGGCCCCCAGACGGCCTCTGTGACGGCCTCAGGACCACCTCCCAGTGCCAGCAGACACTGCACAGCCGCCGTGTGGTTCCTCCTCAGCCTCACTTTGACCTCAACACTTCTGGGCTCAAACCCTTCTGTGGCTCAGACTTCCTTACAGGGCGGGCGGGGTCCCCTCCTCATCCTGTGACCCCTTGGAGCCCCCTTGGGTTCCCTGACCACAGCCATCCTTGCCTCGCTGGGCCTGCCCAGGGCACCTGTCTGGCAGTCACTGCTGTGACCCTAACATACGAAAGCGACTTCTCGTTTGGGGGGTCTTCTGCTCCCTGGTCACCTGTGGCCCTGTCCTAAGTTAGTCACACTGCACGTGGCCTGACCCTTCCACCTGACCACAGGGTCCTAGAGGGTATGGCTGTGTCTCAGATGCAAAAGTGCATGAACACACACACATACACGCACACACATGCACACACACGTATGCACACACACATACGCACACGCACGCACACACATGCACGCACACGCACACACATGTATGCACACACATGCGCACACACGCACACACACGTATGCACACACACGCACACACGTATGCACACATGCACACACGCACACTGTATGCACACATACACACACGCACACACGTATGCACACACGCACACACGTATGCACACATACACATGCACACGCACGTGCACACACACGCACACACGTATGCACACAGATACACATACACACATGCACACACGTATGCACACACATACACACGCACACACATGTATGCACACATACACACGCGCGCACACACACGTGCGCACACACGCACACATGTATGCACACATACATGCACACACGTGCACACACGCACACACACGTATGCACACATACATGAGCACACACGTATGCACACACATACACATGCGCACACATGCACACACACGTATGCACACACATACACATACATGGACACACGTGCGCGCACACGCATGCACACACGCGCACACATGCACACACACGTGCACACACATACACACACGCGCGCACATAGTATCTTCCGCATCCACTTGTCAAGCAAGTGCTGGTGGGTGGATGACTTTCTCCCCGGCAGACGGCCTGAGCCACTGGCCTCCATTTGATCTTGGGCTCCCTCCAGCACCAGGGGACGTGGTGGAAGGTTTGGGTCTCGAGGCCCCAGTGCGGCCAGTGTGTTTCCTGCCTCCCATTGCACCCAGAGCCCTCTGGCCCGATGCCGGCTCCATCGGCTTGTCCTGGGGCTGGGATGATGAGTGGAGGACTGGGGGCCTTGCTGGGGGCAGAGGGAGAGCCTTGGGGGTCTGAGGCACTCCTCCCTGCCGACTCTCACAGGCTGGACCGGGCGGACACCCAAGGGCCACACAGCACAGAACCCCACCCTCTCCGGGGCTGAGGCGTCCAACAGTACCAGCCTCCAGCTGCCTCCAGTTAAGGTCCTTGAAGAGGGGGTGGGCACGGAGCTTGTCGCAGGTCTCATCTCTGAACCCCAGGCGCTTCTCCGGGTCCTTCTCCAGCAGCGCCTCGCAGAAGTCCTTGCTGGCCTGGCTGAACTTATCAGGGTACTTCACGGGCTCTGAGATGATCCGGTGCTTCAGCTCCTTGTTCTCCACCTGTGGGGACACGCGTAGCCTTAGCCCTGCCAGACCCGCCTCTCTTGGGTGGTCAGACCAGACCACAGCTCCTCCCACAAGAGCCACCGCTCACCCACGCGGGTGGGGGACCCATGAGGCCTTGTGCCCCTCCCCAGCACAGCAGCGTTTGAGGCTCCAGTCTCAGGAATGGAATCCTAAAGGCGAAGCTCCCAGGAGCCACAGGTGGGTGCCGTGCATTTTGGGGACTCTGGCTGACCCACCCCCAGCACAGCCGCACCCACCAAGGAAGGAAAGATAGGAAACTGAAGGCCAGCGCGGGCCCAGCTGAGAAGCAGCCTCCGTTTTCACTCCACCACGGTGGACGGAAGCCTCGGTGGCTCTGTTGTCTTCAGGAGTGCTGCCAAGGTCTCACTTCCCCATCAGAGGCCCCACCAGTGGGTACAGTGTGAAGGGTGCTGCTCAGTCCCCAAGGCCCCCGGATCAGGCCATTGACGCTACTCCCACGGGTTGCCCTGGCAGCCCACGCCTGTGCCACGTCCCACAGACACAGAGTGACCACGGGCGTGCTAGTGGTCCTGGGACGACTCTGCTCTGAAACCTGTCCTGGCAGGACAGGTCACATGTCCAGGGAAGTCAGAAGGGAGAGGGGTGGGCATCGCCCAGGTGGCATTGAGGGGGCGATGGGTGGCCAGGGAAGAGCCGCACCTCAAGGCAGCCTGATGCAACTCTGAGACGGTGGCCTTCTGGCTCCGTGCGGCCACCCCCTCCGTCCAACGAGAGGCAGCCCCAGCCCTGAGCTCTGAGTCAGCCTCACAGGGAAAAAGCCAGCTTTTCTCCACTTGTCTTGAATAAGGGACTGGCACCTCCCAATGTTATCCCTATTTGCAGTTCTGGTGGCCTAGGATCCGGGGCAGCCCAGGGGGCACTCAGGGGAGACCCAGCAGCCCCACTAGGTGTCCACACTCCGGGACATTCAGAGCAGCTGCTGGGCCCACCATGGGCTGTGGGTTCTTGGTGTCTGGGAAGAAGGGGAGCTTGCTCTTCTGCAACAGCGATGGATAAGACCGTCCAGGGAGGGGGAGCCGACTCCGTGTCCCCCAGAGCCCCAGCCTCAGCCTCGCCAGTCCCCAGGGGATGAAGCTCCACCCCAAACCACAAAAGGTGGTTTGTCCCACTGCCCAGGGTCTGGGGCAACAGTGGGATAAGTCGCCCTCCCTCCTCCGGTCTGCACCAGAGGGACCGGCCCCCACAGGGCCCTCAGAGGCTGAGTGGTGGCGTGCTGTCTGGTGGGAGGGTCTGCTTGCTCTGGGGCACAGGGTGACTGGGAATCCCTCAGCCCCTCCACCTGCAGGCCTCAGGGGCTGGGGGCGTCACCCACTGAGACAGAACAGCATGGCCCAGGAGCAAGACCCCAGCACGTGAATCTGTGCCCTCCCCACCCCAGGGCCCACAGAACAACTCCCAGGTCTGCCCCAGTAACGATCCCATCACTGCCCCGTCCCCATCGAGAGCCAGGGCGCCAAGGTGGCTGCAGAGACACCTGCCGGCCGCCTCCTACCTTCTCTCCACGGGCTCGGAAGGGTCCTCTGGCCGCAATCATCTCATACAGGGTGACCCCCAGGGCAAAGTAGTCCACGGAGAAGTCGTACTCCTCGCCCTGCAGGAGCTCGGGGGCCATGAAACCTGCCAGCAAGGGACATTGCGGGTTCAGAGGTGGTCACCTCCATGGTGGGCACGCACTCCAGGAATCGCAGGACTGATGCTCTGGGGATGCATCCCCCCCGGGGCCTCAGCACTCTCCACATTTGGGGCCAGAAAATCCTTTGTGGAGGGGCTGCCCTGTGTGTTACTGGGTGCCAAGCAGCACCCCAGACTCTGCCTGTGGGGTGACAGCAGCACCCCCAGGCTGTGACAACCAAAAATGACAACCAAAAATGCCCCATGCCCACTCTAGTGCTGGGCACAGGGCGGGACTTGTTGACTGTAGCTGCACTGAGGCAGCCTTCCTGGACTCTTTTACTGGGGAGAATCCAACATCATTCTCTTTTGAATTTTCCTCTTGAGCTGGTCAGATCATGCCAAGGCGGGTCTTCCACATTCTGGGAACCACGTTGGAGAGGAGGCCTGGGGAGCCTCAACCAACGGTCACTCTCCTTTTCCTCAGCTGTCGGCCTGTTCTCCAGTTGTCCGGTGACCCAGGAGTGCTATGGCTGTGTCCTCTCCAGAGAGGTGGTCCGGTCCCAGTCTTCTGCCAAGAAGGCCCTTAACCACAGGACTGTGGCAGGATGGAGGGACGGCTCTGGGCGCAGCCACGGGGACTCAGGATGGAGGGAGGGCTCTGGGCGCAGCCGCAGAGGCTGTCACGGGATGGGGGGATGGCTCTGGGCTCAGCCCCGGGGACTGTCTCGGGATGGAGGGACGGCTCTGGGTGCAGCCGCGGAGACTGCCTCAGGATGGGATGATGGGTCTGGTCTCAGCTGCAGAGACTGTGTCAGGATAGAGGGGCAGGTCTGGGCTCAGCCGCGGGGACTGTCTCGGGATGGAGGGGCGGGTCTGGGCTCAGCTGCGGGGACTGGGGGACTGTCGGGATGGAGGGACGGGTCTGGGTGCAGCCGCAGGGACTGGGGGACTGTGTCGGGATGGAGGGGCGGGTCTGGGCTCAGCCACGGGGACTGGGGGACTGTGTCGGGATGGAGGGACGGGTCTGGGTGCAGCCGCGGGGACTGGGGGACTGCGTCGGGATGGAGGGACGGGTCTGGGTGCAGCCGCGGGGACTGGGGGACTGCGTCGGGATGGAGGGGCGGGTCTGGGCTCAGCCACGGGGACTGGGGGACTGTGTCGGGATGGAGGGACGGGTCTGGGTGCAGCCACGGGGACTGTGTCAGGATGAAGGGACGGGTCTGGGCTCAGCCGTGGGGACTGTCTCCAGATGGAGGGGCGGGTTTGGGCGCAGCCGCGGGGACTGTCTTGGGATGGAGGGATGGGTCTGGGTGCAGCCGCGGGGACTGTCTCCGGATGGAGGGACGGGTCTGGGCGCATCCATGGGGACTGTCTCGGGATGGAAGGACGGGTCTGGGCTCAGCCGTGGCAACTGTCTCGGGATGGAGGGGTGGGTCTGGGCACAGCCGCAGGGACTGTCTCAGATGGAGGGACGGGTCTGGGCACAGCTGTGGGGACCGTCACAGGACAGAGGGCGGAGGGACAGCTCTGTGTGCAGCTGCTCTCATGCAGTCATTCATCTGCCAAGGTCACCTTTGCACGGACACCAGGCACTGGGCACTGACAGTTCTGTGCAGCTTCAGGGCTCTGGCAGCAGCTTAGCATTCTGCTTCCTTGTGTCAGCTGCCGGCTCCCCTCACCCATCATCAGTCTTCCAGCTGCCATGACGCTGCCGCTCACACCCTCCTTTGAGCACGTGGGTTTGTACTTTTAGCGAGATCCCTTCACTGCCCCTGTCCCGGGACTTCAGGAGGGAAAGCAGATCACATGTGTGTCCAGCCATCAGCTCTGTCCACGAGAGTATCTGAGTGGCTGCTTCCCAACACTTTACTAAATTCAAAACACACTTTCCACTCCACGCTCTGTGTTCTGGCTCCGCCAGCGGATCAGGGAGCGATGGAGCCTGGAGCCTCGCTCGCACATCTGTTGGTGTCTTGCTAACGTCAAGGCAGATCTCTAGGCTCAGTGCTTTCACACTCACAAACACCCCTACTCTAGGTTCGTGCCTGGAAGCCACACCAGGCTCACATATGTCTAGTTTGCTGAAGCTGAGTTCTCTGCCTCGTCCCACAGTCTCAGCTCGAGTCCTCAGCACCCTAAAAGGCGCCTCCCTTCACCGCGGCCTGACTCTGAGGCAGCCAAGCACCTCTCGAGCCCTTCCCAACTGCTCCTCACAGAGAAGATGGAATCCAGTGTGGGCTGCAGCCTCCGGGCACCCCCACGCTGCTCAGGCTGGCATGGGGTCCTCTCCTCTCCTCCCACCTCTGGCTAAGGCTTGCCCACCTGCCGGGCCTTGTCCACCTTTTGTGGTTCCCTGCAGACCCCACCAGCCGGGCTGTGCCCTCCCCGGCCCTTCCGCCCTCTCCAGGGCATCCCTCCTTCTTCATAGGGATGAGGTTCGAGGCCACAGCCACACACTGAGGCTTCCCTCTCCTTGTGAGCAAGCTTCCCCTCCAGGGTGGAAACCGCAGATCCCACCTGTCTCGGCTCAGGCACTTCCGTGGTCCAGCCCTGTGCCTGTTCCACGGAGCCGGGGCGTCTCTGAGTGATGGCCACAGACCCTCCGGGCCCCGCTGCAATGCTGCCATGGTGATGAGCACAGCACTTGCTCCAGCCTGCCCTGAGTGCCAGGCACAGCAGTCCACTATACGCCATGAGCTGGCCATGGGTACTCATCACCATGGGTACTCCTCATCGCCATGGGTACTCCTCATCACCATGGGTACTCCTCGCCATGGGTACTCCTCATCGCCATGGGTACTCCTCATCACCATGGGTACTCCTCATCGCCATGGGTACTCCTCGCCATGGGTACTCCTCATCGCCATGGGTACTCCTCATCACCATGGGTACTCCTTGCCATGGGTATTCCTCATCGCCATGGGTACTCCTCATCGCCATGGGTACTCCTCATCGCCATGGGTACTCCTCATCGCCATGGGTACTCCTCGCCATGGGTACTCCTCATCGCCATGGGTACTCCTCATCGCCATGGGTACTCCTCGCCATGGGTATTCCTCATCGCCATGGGTACTCCTCATCGCCATGGGTACTCCTCATCGCCATGGGTACTCCTCATTGCCATGGGTACTCCTCATTGCCATGGGTCCTCATCGCCATGGGTACTCCTCATCGCCATGGGTACTCCTCATCGCCATGGGTACTCCTCATCGCCATGGGTACTCATCGCCATGGGTACTCCTCATCGCCATGGGTCCTCATCACCATGGGTACTCCTCATCGCCATGGGTACTCCTCATCGCCATGGGTACTCCTCATTGCCATGGGTACTCCTCATCGCAATGGGTACTCATCGCCATGGGTACTCCTCATCGCCATGGGTACTCCTCATCGCCATGGGTACTCCTCATCGCCATGGGTCCTCATCGCCATGGGTACTCCTCATCGCCATGGGTACTCCTCATCGCCATGGGTCCTCATCGCCATGGGTACTCCTCATCGCCATGGGTACTCCTCATCGCCATGGGTCCTCATCGCCATGGGTACTCCTCATCGCCATGGGTCCTCATCGCCATGGGTACTCCTCATCGCCATGGGTCCTCATCGCCATGGGTACTCCTCATTGCCATGGGTACTCCTCATTGCCATGGGTCCTCATCGCCATGGGTACTCCTCATTGCCATGGGTACTCATGATGGGGATGTGCAGCAACTTGTCCAAGGCCACAGCCCACACCCCACAGTCCACAGCCCACAGTCCACAGGCTGCTGTCCACAGCCCACGGTCCACAGGCCACAGCCTACAGGCCACAGATCACAGACCACAGGCCACACCTCAAAGCCCACAGTCCACACCCTACAGCCCACAGTCCACAACCCACAACCCAGTCCATAGACCGTGGGCTGCCTCCCTGAGTGCTCCGCCCTCTTGTCTCCAGTGGCGGCAGCCATGAGCTCTGGGCCCTCCCTCCAGATGGCTGCATGCTGACCAAGCAGGGTCCTTGGCAGACGTCTGCTCTGGTGAGTCAGACTCCAGGAGAAGTTCAGACACCTGCCTGGCCCCCGAGCCAGCTCTGTGTGGCACATGGGGCCTGTGTGAGTTATGTCAACTTGCCAGCTGCTACCCAAGTGAGGCCAACCCGGCACACAGTGGCGGACAGGCCCGTTGGGAGACCCATGACGGATGTCCTGGGACCAGGCAGAGAGGCCGCAGGCTGGGGCATGGGGGCTGCTGGGGCTGGTCAGTTTTGACACTTCTGAGTCAAGGTCCTTCCTGGTCCTTCACCGTGCCTGAGGGCCAGGCTGATGTGGCCACAGAATCCTTTTTCCCCAAAAGAGTTGCAGGAACCCTGCCTCACAGAACCACAGGCCCTGAATATGCCCTACTGGTCCAGGATTACACGGACGTCAGAATTCTGCCCAGACTCCGGGGAGGAACTGCTCACACGATCACAGCCTCTAGACCCACCCAGAGCCTTCTCAGCTCCCAGGCCGGGCACGAGCAAGGCCCACCAGACCGCAGGCTCCTGTCAGTTCCTGGGCCAAGGAGCCCCCAGCCCTCCTGGCCTGACCCCCATGATGCAGCCCGGACGGCGCACCTGTTTGTGCCCCAGGCCTCCTGAGGGACCTGCAGCCACGCAGCGGCCAGTAAATATTGACAGAAAGCGTGAGGGAGACAGCTCTACCTGCTCTGTTCACAAATTCTCCCGCCCCTGAACTCAAACTAGGACCGCGCATGACCGGCCCCGCCCTGTGCACGCCCCTGGATCCCGCCCCTGACCTCAAACTAGGGCCGCGCATGACCGGCCCCGCCCTGTGCACGCCCCTGGATCCCGCCCCTGACCTCAAACTAGGGCCGCGCATGACCGGCCCCGCCCTGTGCACGCCCCTGGATCCCGCCCCTGACCTCAAACTAGGGCCGCGCATGACCGGCCCCGCCCTGTGCACGCCCCTGGATCCCGCCCCTGACCTCAAACTAGGGCCGCGCATGACCGGCCCCGCCCTGTGCACGCCCCTGGATCCCGCCCCTGACCTCAAACTACGACCGCGCATGACCGGCCCCGCCCTGTGCACGCCCCTGGATCCCGCCCCTGACCTCAAACTACGACCGCGCATGACCGGCCCCGCCCTGTGCACGCCCCTGGATCCCGCCCCTGACCTCAAACTAGGACCGCGCATAACCGGCCCCGCCCTGTGCACGCCCCTGGATCCCGCCCCTGACCTCAAACTAGGACCGCGCATAACCGGCCCCGCCCTGTGCACGCCCCTGGATCCCGCCCCTGACCTCAAACTAGGACCGCGCATGACCGGCCCCGCCCTGTGCACGCCCCTGGGTCCCGCCCCTGACCTCAAACTAGGACCGCGCATGACCGGCCCCGCCCTGTGCACGCCCCTGGATCCCGCCCCTGACCTCAAACTAGGGCCGCGCATGACCGGCCCCGCCCTGTGCACGCCCCTGGATCCCGCCCCTGAACTCAAACTAGGACCGCGC
Source organism: Homo sapiens (assembly GCF_000001405.40). Lineage (NCBI taxonomy): Eukaryota > Metazoa > Chordata > Mammalia > Primates > Hominidae > Homo > Homo sapiens. The sequence continues at coordinate 113,725,731 of NC_000013.11, read as the reverse complement.
ATGACCGGCCCCGCCCTGTGCACGCCCCTGGATCCCGCCCCTGACCTCAAACTAGGGCCGCGCATGACCGGCCCCGCCCTGTGCACGCCCCTGGATCCCGCCCCTGAACTCAAACTAGGACCGCGCATGACCGGCCCCGCCCTGTGCACGCCCCTGGATCCCGCCCCTGAACTCAAACTAGGGCCGCGCATGAGCGGCCCCGCCCTGTGCACGCCCCTGGATCCCGCCCCTGAACTCAAACTAGGACCGCGCATGACCGGCCCCGCCCTGTGCACGCCCCTGGATCCCGCCCCTGACCTCAAACTAGGGCCGCGCATGACCGGCCCCGCCCTGTGCACGCCCCTGGATCCCGCCCCTGAACTCAAACTAGGACCGCGCATGACCGGCCCCGCCCTGTGCACGCCCCTGGATCCCGCCCCTGACCTCAAACTAGGACCGCGCATGACCGGCCCCGCCCTGTGCACGCCCCTGGGTCCGCACCGCACTGGCAAGGGGGAGTCCCCCGACAGGCTTCTTATGGCTGTGGTGTCTCTCGCTGCGTGGGGGGCGCGTGGGAGGGCGCGAGGGTGCCAGGAAGAAGGATGCGGACCCTGCGGCTTTGCTGAACTGACACCGGCCTCCCAGCCTGCACCCTGACGGCAGCATCTCCAGGTCACTGTGCAGGGGTCACAGCCTGAGCCCAGCCCTGCTGTGAGCACCTGGGGCTCCGAGGAACGGGCGCCGGCGAAGGCTTGGGGCCCCCTGGCGGCCAGTCGGGCCCTCACCCTCGGCCTGGAAGCTGGGCCCTTTCCATCCGTGAGGTTAACTCTTCCAGTCCTGGCCTCGGAGTCCACCTGGATCTCCCCGAAATGCGTGAGGGGGCTTCCACCCACGCGCTCACACCCAGGCTTGGCAAGGGTCCCAAAGACTCGAGGGCCGCAGCGCCAACCGTTTCTACCCACCCAGAAAGAGGCTTGGATCATCTCACGAAAAGCAGGTGCCACCCGAGGCTTCCTTGAGCCATGGGATCCCCCAGGATGAGCTGCCTTCCAGAAAGTTTTGAGACCTTCGACCACTGGCCCTGAGCACTCAGTGGCTACGGAATCCCACATCCAGATGGCAACCCAGCCATGAGGGGTGTGGGCACAGAACTGCCCTTCGTCAGAACTTTGGGGAAACAGTCCTTAGCCCCCACCCCGAGATGCACCTTCCCCTAAGTCCAGCTGGAGCGAGGATGTCCCCCCCGTGGCCACGGCACAAATACGCCCAGTGCCTAAACACCAGCATGGGAGGACCCAAAACACCACCGCACACAAACCCCATCAGGCGACAGCACTGCCTCCCCACAGCCAAAACAACCACGGGGAAGCGACATTCTCTGGAAATCCCAGCAGAAGTGAGCCCGACACGCGGACCCTCAAGACTGCGGAGGAGAGAGGAAGAACTCAAATTCACGGTGTGGCTGCTGTACACAGGCGCCGGGCACGTGGCGTGTGAGGTCTCCTCAGCAAGCCTGTGCACCGAGTGCTAGCAGGAGGCTCGGAGGTTAAGTAAAGCACACAGGCCACACGCCAGCAGGTGCTGGGCCCAGAACACGGACCCCGCTCTGCTTGACTGTGGGGGTCTCCTCTCCTCCACAGGTGCTGCGAGCCTCCCTGCCTGGGGGGAGGTGAGAGGAGATGAGTGACACGGGATGGGGGAGGCAGTAGGATGCACCGTGCATGTGCACTCACATACAGGCACACGGACACACGTGTGCACAGAGACCCGGGCATGCATACACAGGAACACATGCACACAGACACAGGCACACGGATACACATGTGTGCACAAAGATGCAGGCATGCACATACAGGTACACGGACACGTGTGTGCACAGACACGGGCATGCACACACAGGCACACAGACACGTGTGCACAGAGACACAGGCATGGGCACACAGGCACACATGCAGGCACACAGACACACGTGTGTGCACAGAGACACAGGCATGCACACAGGCACACTGTAAAAGGAAAATATCTTGAGACCCAAAATCACTAAAGGAAAGAGTCAAGCTGGGAACTGCTTATGGCAAACCTGCCTCCCATTGTATTCAAAGTCCTCTCAGTGAGCCCTCTGTTCACTGAGATAAATGCTTATCTGATTGCCTCCTCTGGAGAGACTCATCAGAAACTCAAAAGAATGTAACCATTTGTCTCTCATCTTCCTATGACCTGGAAGCCCCCTCCCGCCTTTCCAGACCGAACCAGTGTTCATCTTACATATGCTGATTGATGTCTCATGGCTCCCTAAAATGTGTAAAACCAAACTGTGCGGCGACCACCTGTCATCAGGACCTCCTGAGGCTGCCACGGACTCGCGTCCTCAACCTCAGCAAAATAAACTTTCTAAATTAACTGGTACCTGCCTCAGATATCAGGGTTCACAACACTCACATGCACACAAATGCACAACCACACAGACGCCCATGTGCACACAGACACACCTATATACACAAACTCACATGTATGTGCAAGTGCACACAGGCACACACATGTACACAGGGACGTAACCCATGCACGGAGCCTCCCCAGCTGCGCTCAGACCCTTACCTGGGGTCCCTGCGTAGCCCTTGGTCTTGCTCTGTCCGTCCAGCAGCTCCACGGCCAGCCCAAGGTCAGAGATCCGGACATTGCCTGAGAGGCAGATAGCGGAGTCACCCCTGGCTGCACAGGACAGGCGCCGGGAG